>NC_000002.12:106883557-107186587 GCF_000001405.40 Homo sapiens | reverse complement strand
TCTGGTTTGTGTTCTCTGAACTTCTTGGATGTTTGGCGTCTGTTATTAATATTTAGGAAATTCTCAGTCTTTGTTTTCAGATATTTGTTCTGTTCCTTTCTCTCCTTCTTCTTCTTCTTCTGATACTGCCATTACATGTATGTTATACCTTTTGAGATCATCCCACAGTTCTTGGATATTCTATTTCAGTTCCATTTTTTCATTCTTTTTTCTCTTTGCATATTAATTTTGAAAGTTTCCGCTGATGTATCTTCAAGCTCACTGATTCTTTCCTCAGCAATGTCCAGTCTACTAATGAACTTACTAAAAGTATTCTTAATTTCTATTTTACGATGTTTTTGATTTCTAGCAATTCCTTTTTTTCTTAAGATTTCCTTCTCTCTGCTTACATAAACCATCTGATCTTACATGTTGTTCACTTTTTCAACTAAAGCCCTTAGGATATTAATCATAGTTGTTTTAAATTTGCAATATAATAAGTTGAACATTTCTGTCATATCTGAGGCTGGTTCTGATGCCTGCTTTGTCTCTTCAGGTTGTGTTTTTTGCCTTTTAACATCCTTTGTATTTTTTTATTGATAGATAGACATGTTGTAGCAGGTAAAGTGAACTGAGGTAAATAGGCCGTTAGCATGAGGTTTTATGCTTATCTGGCTAGGAGTTAATTCTGCGCTCTCTCAGTTGTGATCTGCTATTATTCCACTGAAGCCCTGTTGACGTGGTGGTAAAATATTAGGGAGGGGAAGCACTATATGATTAAATCTTTCATTTTTGGTGGGCCAGCATCCCTGGGACTTGATTTCCAGAAGAAATTTTTAGGCTTTTTTGGATTTCCTCACGTTACATGAGACAGGAAAGCCAGAGAGGGCTGCAGACATGCATTGACCTTCCTCTAAGCTCATGTAAATTAGTTTCCCTAAGGAACATGTCTGTGTCATGAAGAACAGGAACCTCTGGGCATATTCCAAAAATGTTACTTTTCCCCTCTCCTTCCTCCAGAAGGTATTTCTTTGATTTTCACAGTGAAAATCTGGTAAGGCTGCTGGAGGTAAAATTCAAGAAAGTGTGGGCCTCTCCAACCTTTAAGACTAGGCTTTCAGGCATTTTTCTCTCTCAAGGTAGCTCACGCTCAGACTCCACCAAGTCTTCAATTACTCCAGTATTCCTATGAGCTTCCAGAGGCTTGTGCTCACATCAGGATGTGATTCTCTGCATTTGCCTTTATCACCACTTTTCCAATGATGGTTTGCCCTGTGACCTCAATTCTCTAAATGATCTAAGAAGAATGTTAATTTTCAGTTTGTTCATGTTTTTATTGTTGTTGCTTTGTGAGAATGAGAGTGTTAACTGCCAAACTTTTATCTGTCCAAAAGGAAAACTGAAAACCACAAATCAGTTGACTTTGAGTCCATGCAAAGAGAGGTTATCCAGATTGAGCCTGATTTAATTAGATGGAGTCCTTAAAAGAGGGTCTGGGCCCTTCCAGTGGATCCGCAAGGCTTCTGAGCTGGCTTTGAAGATGCAAGCTGTTATTAAGTGAAATTAATGTGATTGGGCCACACCTAGGGAACTATGCTCAGCTTTTAGAAGCTGAGGCCTCAGTCCTACTAATACAAGGAACTGAACTCTGCTAACAATCATCTGTGCTCTAATGAGGTTCAGGACACATTATCCTAAAATATGGCACATTGGCATTTGAGAAAACAGCAGAAACAGGAGGTTCTCTCTCTGCCTTCCTCCTGCCCTTCTCCCTTGAAGCAGGCCATTAAAACCTAGGAAGAAGTTTCTGACCTTCCTGTGAAGCAGGTCGTAAGTCCTTCATGAAAGCGGTACCTTCCCTATATTCAGAGGAAAGGAACATCCTGTTATTGGTGATACAGGGAGACAGAAAATAATCTGAATGAGCAGGCTTTGCTGTGTTTCCTCCAGTTTATTACCATAAATCACACTTTTTAATCCAATCATACTTCTCTATGACTATTCACTTCTTCATCAAACCTATCACAAAAATACACAGTTTTACCAATTTTGGGGGGTCTTTATTTTGTTATGGAGGCTTCTGCATCATGTGCAACTTACATTAAATAAATTCATATGCTTTTCTTTTGTTGATTTATCTTTGGTTATAGAGTCTTCAACCATGAACCTAAGTAAGATGAGTGAGGAACAGATATTTTTCCTCATCTACAGCTGAGAAAAGGGTTTCTAGCTCCCAAAAGGAACACAGCTCAGCTGACACCTTGAATGCAAACTTGTGAGAACCTGAGTAGTGGACCCAGCAAAGCCACATCCAGACTCCTGACCCACTGACACTGTGAGATAGTAGCTATGACTTTTGTAAGCTACTAAGTTTGTAGCAATAGAAAACTAGCCATGTGTGTGAATATTTGTGAATAAGTGTGTGTATGTATCTGTGTATACTTACCTAGAAAGGCTAACATATTCATAAAATTTATCTGGAAGAATAAGTAAGGACCCAAACAGTATTTGTCTACTGTGGGTGTTGGAAATGAGACAGATTGGGAGCACAGGGAGGGTAGGAAAGGGGCCTTTCATTGTCTTCCCATTTAAAATTTTTGATGTTTAAATTATACAAATGAATTACTAATACAAAAATATTTTAACATGGGGGATGGGTGCTATTTCAAATACATCCCTTGTGAGTGCCCGGAGTGCCCTCTGCATCCCAGTTTTTGACTTCCCTGCAGGAAGCAATGGGAAGGAATCCGGTGAAAGGTACCTCAATTTCTAAGAGTTTATTATTATTATTACTATCATTATTATTATTTTTGAAGCAGAGACTCACTTTATCACTCAGGCTGAAGTGCAGTGGCGCAATCTCAGCTCACTGCAACCTCCGCCTCCCAGATTCAAGCGATTCTCATGCCTCAGCCTCCCAAGTAGCTAGGATTTCTGGTGCAGACCACCACACCCCTGATTTTTGTATTTTCAGTAGAGACAGGGTTTTGCCAGGCTGGTCTCGAACTGATCTCGAGTGATCCCCCTCCTCAGCCTCCCAGTGTTGGGATTACAGGTGTGAGCCCCCACACCTTGTCAATTTCTAAGAATTTTTGCACAAGTAAAGGATCATCAGGGGAACAGAGAAATAAGAATGGCAGAAATGCAAATTGCTGATCAGGCTACAAATGAATGTGCACTTCATGGATAAAAGTTTCATTCTAAACATGAAGCTAATTCTAAGCAGTTCTTCCACTGAATAATTTGAAAGAAAAATCTAACTGTATCATTTTGTCCCCAAATTTTATGACTGGATTTATGTCAAATACTGGACAGCATAATCTCTACTTTTATCATCTATTTAAAGAAAGTTATTTATTCTAGTGGAAAACTGGGTCGAGCTAAACATGTGGTACTTAAATGTAAAACATTTTTGGAGAGCTGCAAAGAAACGTTTATCTGTTGGTATAAGTGTGATGTGAAATGTAAAATGTATGAGACGCAGCTATAAAAGAGCATGACTGACTTTTTCTTGTCTTTTTTTTTAACAAATGTGCTCAAGTTTTTACAACCAAGGGGATTTTGTTTCCTTTCAATGTCCACCTTGAGATGTTTGTTTCACTCTAACGGAGCTGCTGCTAGCTAAGTTTTTGCATTGCTGATTTCAAAGCTATCCTAATAAACTTGTAGCATGTTTTTGTGGATTTCTTCATTGCTTTCCATCTGAAATGGTTTGGCTGTGTCCCCACCCAAATCTCACCTTAAATTGTAATAACCACCACGTATGAAGGGTGGGGTGAGGTGGGGATAATTGAATCATGGAGTCTGTTTCCCCCATACTGTTCTTGTGGTAGTGAATAAGTCTCATGAGATCCGATGTTTTATAAATGGGACTTCCCCTGCATAAGCCCTCTTGTGGAACTGTGAGTTCAATAAACCTCTTTTTCTTGATAGATTATCCAGTCTCATGTATGACTTTATTAGCAGCATGAGAACAGACTAATACACCATCCTTTAAAAATTTATTTGGTATTTCTCCATAGCCAAACTTTATTTGGACTGTAGTCTTGGGGTAAATGGAAGATGAAGGGTTAGGAGAAGGACAGAAACATATGATGAGCTTCTATCATGAAGAGCACAAGGCTTTCACCTTCTCTGTTCATCTATTCCTCTCAATAAGCCTATGTAAGGTATCATTATGTCCATTTGAAGGAAACTGAAGGTTAGTGGGAAAGCCATTTCTTTAAGCCTAAGCAGCATAAGGGCCCAACCAGAATTCAAACCAGATCTGTTTTATTGAAAATTCAAGATCACATCACCACCCTGTGCTGACTCTTACAGTATGACAGAATACTTTAGGTTGAAAATGAAAGGCACTTGTCAATAAAAGAGAAAGGCCTGAATAGTAGGCAGGTGAATAACCACCTATGCTGGGTAAATTGCTATTCTCAGAAGCAGAGGAGTAGACCACGAAAGCATAGGAACCATCCAGCAGCAAGCTGGCAGCCCATGGTGGGTCCGGCCACAGAATAACACCTTGGAGCACCTGGAGAGAGAAGTCACCACTGCTGAGGACACTTGCTCACCTTGGAGATCATTGGCTCTGCGCTGGGTGCTGGAATGCAAAAGTTTGCCCTCTGCCACCAAGTCCTCAACAGATATTGAAAAAGAAGATAATAAGCCATCGCACTCCCGAGTGCCCTACAGTCTGAGTGGTGAGCAGAAGGCATTACAGAAACCAGGCAAAAGGACCACACAGACGTGAGCTGTCTGCATGGTCTGTTCAGGAAGACAGGTCACTTGTTCTCCAAAGCAGTTACTTTCCATCCTGAAGGGTCTGAGCCAGCGGAGGCAGCTGTGCCATCTCTCTCAATCCTGTGCTAGACTCAGGGTTCCTCACTCAACCCAAAATCATGGGAATTTCAGAGGAAAGACTCTTGTCTTCCTCCTGGGGATGTCTGCTTCTTTGGTTTTATTTTGCTTTGATTTTGGTTGCTGTGCTGGCTGTCAATTCTAATGGCTGGCATACTTCAGTCTTATTGCCTGCCCTGTCTGGGTCTTGCACATTTTCCCATGCCTGCTCACCTCACTTGGTGTCACATGAAAAGTGCTTGTCGTCGCAAAACTTTCTAGCAACAGAAATGACATTCACATTCATCTTTATAATTTAGGGTAGAATATTTTAAGTAAAACAGAAGAGGAACAATTAGGGAGTGTTCTATAGGGCCCCAGAAGATTTTCCTATTGCAAAATATAATCACTTGTCAACGTGTCAAAAATTCTCTGCTTTGATTATATGAAGCAGTACAATTTCACATGGTAACAAATAATTGTCTTGATTATAGATATCAGTAGAATATTGTATAGGAAAAAATAATTGACTGATCCTGGGTCTCTTTAGAAAATGGAAACATTTGAAATTTAAATACATTTATGGAATGTGCCTACTCTGTCATTTGTTCATGGGTGGTATTTACATTAAGGAAAGCAGGACTTATTTCCTTAAAAGTACCAAAAAAGAAAGAAAGAAATGACTTACCTCTGCAAGAGAAATGCAATAAGCAAATCAGTGATTTTTCTAATTGTGTTTTCCTCATCACCACTAGTTCATGAAGAGCAAGAACACTGGAGTCCGACTTTCCTGGGTTCTGCCACTTAATAGAATGTGAAACTGAGAAAGTCATTGAGATTCTCTAGGCCTCAGCATTTGAGGACAACACCGTTTTCCTCTCAGGAGTGTCATGAGGATTAAGAGAGATCATGGATATAAAGGGTATGGCATGGAGCGTATGGTCAATAAATGGTAGCTAATAGTGGTCTGCTCATCTTTTATCCCAGACAGATGTGCAGCAGATTGGATTCCCATATTCCCAGCTTCCTGATGTTAAGTTACTACTACAGCATTTTCAAAACCTCTTGGGTTGGCCTTTTGTTTCAATTGGTACAATCTAAAGATAGTTAATGGTGAAATATATGTGTTTGTGAGTGTGTTCTTGAATCAAGATAAACTTACATTGTTTGTATTCATTTTTTAAAATCATGAATGTGTGACTTACTTCAAAATGTATCTTAAATGCTTGCATGCTTACATTTATGAGAAAAACAATATATGGCCTCGAAAATATATGTGGAACTTATTAAAGGAATCTCATTGATGGTTTCATCGTTGTGATTTGTAATTCTTAATCAGTTTACATAGATGCATTAAGTTCTTTCCAGCTGTGAAGACAGGTATGTACACAGGTCACTCTGGGGGTTGCAGCCTTCCTGCAAGAAAACACAGGAAATAAGAAATACTAAGATGTCATCTCAGCAAGACTGATGAAAACTGATCCTTTTTCAGTATGGAACATGATTCTAGTGAAAAGGCACAAAAGTAGTTTTATATCAATCATTAGACTTTTATTGTTTCCCAAGGTGACAACAAGAGATAATGCTCATTCAGATGATGGATGCATGCATACTGTTTTTAAAATATGTTACATTTATTTTCATATTGCAAAAGTAATATTTGATTATTAAATATAAAAGGGGGGAGAAAGGCAGAGAGGAAAAAAACATTCAGATTAGCGAAATGGAGAAAAAAAATCCATCTTTGAGCCTGCTACGGAAATGTACGTGCTTTTAGACTTTCTGATATTCTTGGTGCTACAATTTATTTTAAAATAGTTTTTGTTGCTGCAGAGCTATCTTACAACTTTTTTTCAGTGAAATATGCAATCAACATCTTTTCATGTCAAGAAATAGACTTCTATTAACTATTTTAGTAGCTGCCTATTATCCTATTATATGACTATACCACAATTTATCTAACCAAGATCTTATCATTAGAGATTTAGGTTGTTATTTTTATTTTCTCCTCTCCTCAAAACACTGTGACATAAAAATGCTTTATATACACTTTGTAATCTTGTTTGGTTGGCGGATCAGGAGAATACTCATTAATTTAGAGCTTGAAATAAGTGCTGACAACTCACTCTCTGGGGGTGCTCCCTGGTCAACGAGACCAGCAGTGCTGAAGTGAACATGTGCTCCCCAACGCTTCTGATGCTGGGCTCCTCTTTTGTTTTCATCTTTGGGCTCTCTTAAGGAAACAATTGATTTTCATTGTTTAATCAGCCTTTTCCTGGTTACTAACAAGGCTAACACTTCTTGTATTTTTATTGCCTATCCGAATTTATTTTATAAACAACTTGTTCATGATCTCTCCTAACTTCTAATTATTTTGTACATCATTTAAAAAATGTTCTTTATATGTTAGGAATGTGAATACATTACCTTATATTGCAATTTGATGCCAGTTTTCATTTGACCTTCTTTTTCATATTAATCAGGTTAACTCCAAATTGTTTAGTTTTATGCCTTTAAATATTATGCTATTCTTAAAAATAGCATAAATATAGCCACCTTGCATATATGAGCTATTTAAATTCAGGAGGAAACATATTTTGAGACGAACACTGGGGATGAAGTACCAAGGTGACACCCGTTATCAACGAATCTGGAGCTTTGCCAAAATACACCAACTCTGTTTTTTTTATATGTATAAAGATTTGCTGTAAGGCTCCGTCTTTGCAGGGTGAACAAATGAATCTACATAATAATACCTGCTATAGATCTGTGATAATCCTTTGAGCACATATTGAAATTTCTGCAAGGCAGCTAAATGTGTTTCTAGGATTTAAAAATTCCTAATACATTAATCTAGAAACACAGATGTCTATCTGGCCAAACAAAAGAATGCCTAATAAAGTTTTCAGTGGAAAAATTAGTGTCCAATATCTTCAGCAACTCTAATGTGCCATGGACCATAAGTGTAAGCAGCTCAGCTTTCCAGTGCATCCGGATACAGAATGCTAAATATCTAAATGCCAGGAAGTCACTCCGAGTGAGCCATTTTGTTTTAATTGAATGGCCTGGTTATAACAAGAGAAATGTGTTCAATTGGTTTACAGTGTAGAATTCTTTTACTTTAAAAGGCAAATATTTACAAGGCTTTGTTTTAATGATTTATCATGATAGATGTGTAGCAAAACATAGATCCCAATCCAAGATGGCTCAGGATTGACTCTGGCTGGGCAAAGTAGATGGTGACTTTGTTTGGGTTGGAAATCCCCAAATGACAGCTCACCTAGCCACTGTGCTGTCTTTCCATACTGCTAGTGGAAGCTTTAGAAGCTGACCTCTGTACGTTTGATCCCCCCAACCCAATTAACCTGCCAGGAATGATGGGAGTCTGGGCAGAGAAAAAAGCAACAATTTGAGCTGTCAATTTAAGCCAGGTAAACATCACTTACTAACCTACAATACTAGAATAAATGATACCCAAGGAAATAATTCTCTTTACCATCACACCTATCTGGACAATCTAAGATCATATTCTGGAGCCAATTACTTTGAAAGCAGGCATTGATTTTATTTTATTTTTACCAGCAGGAAACAAGGTGGCATAAGAAATGTTGGTTTACTACTTTGTTTATATTAATTACATACAGACGCTAGAAGGTGATAGCATAAGATTGATTGTAATTGAGCCATAAATTTAACACACAGCAACATCATCCATTTACCTGGACAGCTCTTAGCTGAAATATATTTCTAGAGCTGAAATAGGAGAAACAGGGCCTAAAGATAACAAATGATAAATGTCTTCTACCTATGGCCAAGTGAAGAAATCCTTAACATAAACTAGTGTCTACTCAGCTAGCAAAGTTATTCTCCTAGGATATGAATCATGCAAAGTTTGAATATCTAAATGACTATTTATCACCCAAGATTCCTATTTTGGCAAGTATGTCTAAGAAATTCTAAATTTTTGGAAATAAAATGGCTTTTACAATAATCTCTATATAGTATCCAGCCCCTTGAGTGGCTCTGTTCAGCCATGTAAGGTGTTTACAAGGTTAATTCAGATGTCCAGAAAGTATCTGCTCCATATAAAGTAGAGACAGTGAGGCCCTTGGGCCTGTGTGAATTACAGTAGCCAAAGAAGAATGTAAAAGGGAACCTCGAGTATGGATGACAGAGAATGCCACCGGACTACTGAGAAAAACATCTGCGTCCTGGAACTTGGTTGAAATTTATAACGTCTCTGTTGGGGTAATAGGACAGAACAACTCCAGCTTGTTCTACAGAAATTTGAAGGGGAAACAGGCTGGAAGGAGGAAGGTGAACATCTGTTCTTTAATACCCTTAAGGCTAGCAAATCTCCACCCATGGGGTGAGGAGAAGGAGAAGCCCAGAGGGCAGTGTTGATCACGTTGTAGACTTGGCCTTAGCAAAGGAGTCGACTGGGGGAAGATTAAGGGGTTTTGGGTTATGAATGGTAGACAGGCCCATAGGAGTTCAGGCTCAACAGTTCTGTAATTGACTTCAGATCAAGTCGCTCAGGTACTGGGAAAATAGAGAACACTTGGAAGGATGATAGAGTATTGGCAGACTCTGAAGCAGATAGCAAGTCACATTTGCAATGCCAGATTTCCATCTGACGTGGATTTGGAAGTAAACACATGATCAACCGTGATATCCAATTTGAAGTATAATTTGTAGTAGGTTTCCAGACGGGCCGCGTATGAGCACTGTAAGAAGGGACTGAGTCAACACTGACTGCCCCACTTGTCCGGTCCATCCCAAAGGATTCTTGAGAGGAGTGTGGAGGTGAAGCAAAGTTCTGGGCTTAGAGGGAACCTGAGAAATTGCCTGACCCAGGAAACACCTTGGGGCCATGCACAAGCTAACAGAGAGACGGCCAGGAAATGTGTGCACTTTCTCCACCCCACCATATCAAAAATGTAAATGAAATCACAATTTGAAAATTAAATAATCCTAACTGGATATCAAGTTAGTGTATTGCCATAAAGAAAAAAATATTTCCAGTGACTTTAATACAGGAATTTTAGAGTATGTTCATCTACACACATGCACAAAGGAATTTTAAATTGCATTTAGTAATCATAGTTATTAATATACTAGTGCTATTTTGAAATTAACATATACGTACAAGAGAAAACATGTAATTTTTCAAGTAATTGTTAAATTGTTAAGCAAATCATGTTAATGTAGTTAACAAAGTTTTTAGTGTAAGATGAAAGAGGTATAAATACAAAATCAATAACATGAAAACTACCACCTTAAATTTGAATTAGAAATACTATTATGGGCTCATGATTTATTTTCTTGTTCTTATAAAACAAAGACTTTCCAGTTCTGTCCACTGGAAAGGCCAAGAAAATGTAAGGAGAATCTAACAGTAGTTAGCATCCCCCACACATAATAGTGGCCTCTGACTACCATTTCCCACTAAAGGAACAGTGCTCTAAGTCTAAGGTAGAAATACGTAATGTAAACCCTGAACATCGTGTGTGGCTGGAAGGCACCAGGGCTCCCAACAACCACAGGAGTCATGGCAAAGATTCAGCCTAAAGGAGTTCCCCAAAATCAAGATGAGATATTCTGAACATCAAAAAATAAAATAGTGTCTGCCATGGATTAAAACATCAAATTCATAAAAACTCGTCTGCTCATAATGATTAAAAAAATCCTTGCTTATTCTTTGAAGTTGCTAAGGCATCAGCTTTATTTTTTTGAAAACTGGTAAATAAAGGGAAAAAGTCAAGCATATATCCTATCTTTTCCATACAGACATACTTCTGGTACCCACATAGTTAATGATAGAAAATTCTGTACGAAAAAATTCTAATTATTAAGTGACAGGATTAGAAAATCACCACTTTCACGCCTGTAATCCCGGCACTTTGGGAGGCCGAGGTGGGTGGATGACCTGAGGTCAGGAGTTCAAGGCCAGCCTGGCCAACATGGTGAAACCCCGTCCTCTACAAAAATACAAAAATTAGCCAGGCATGATAGCCTGTAATCCCAGCTACTTGGGAGGCTGAGGCGGGAGAATCACTTGAACTCGGGAGGTGGAGGTTGCAGTGAGCCAAGATGGTTCCACCATACTCCAGCCTGGGTGACAGACTGAGACTCTGTCTCCAAAAAAATAAAAATAATAAAAATTAATTTAAAAAATCACCACTTCACAGCTCCTAATGAAGTAGTGGATTTAGACTATTTTCATCAATGGCTGTGGGAACCATTTAGTGAAAAGTTAAAGGGCAATTTTAGAATGCAGAATCAGGTTGACAACATTAGAACCCACTGTTCAAACACCTTGCAGGAGGTAGGACCGTGAGGTCTCAGGAGCCTCTTGTTGTAACACTGTAGGAAGCACCCAGTGTCACTGGAGAAGTAAGAAAGTGGTTCATTCTAGTCCAACCTCTGTACTAGTAAAAGCATAAGCATGAGTAACTACATGTTGAAGAAGCCATTGCCAATGCAGAACATAGCTGGTTCTATTTCATTTAAATCATCTGGTTGCCATCATGCAATATATGGCCTGGGAAAAAAGATGGAGAGGAAATTACTACAGAGGGAAGAAAAAAAGAGACATTGAGAGGCAAGTCAAGCAATACTGCCCAGGAACCTTTGGGGCTCTAATTCCAACAAACCAACTGTAAAAAGATGTTTTTCAGAAAAGTAGAAATTTGTACACACCCCAGGTATATAATAATAATGGGAAATTATTTTAAGTTTTGTTGGGTGTGAAAATGTTATTATGGTTATGTTTTTAAGTCTCACCTGTTAAAGAGACATCTTGCAGTATTTATAAATGAAGTGACATTATGTCTGGGATCTCTTTAGAACACTTCAAGGGGGATGCGGGAATGGCAGGAAGTGTGAGGAGTCATATTGCAACAAGATAAGCAAAATGAATTGTTGAAGTGGCCAATGGACAATAGGGTTTCATTAACTTCCCTCTACTTTTGTGCATATCTGAAAAATTTATTAATATGAAATAACACTAAAGCCAATCATCAATGCTGCTTTCCTGGAAGCAGAAAAAGGCCCCAGAGATTCTGAATTGCAACACTCAGACTATTTCTAGCCCCATCCAGGAAAAATATTTGCTTACAGCCGGTGTCTCTGATAACATCATTGATTCAGAAACCATGATCTTAATCCACTAGAGCCCAGAGTTTCTCTGAGACAAGCTGGTTGTCAGCCTCATCTTATATCACAGGAAATTTGACTATTTCCACCAATCTCCATAATGAGTAAGTCATATTTTGATTGTGTCGGCCACGGTCTTCTGGGGGATCTTCATTATCATTGGCACGATATAGCACACGGCAGCTGGTGAACCGAAGGAGGCAGCCCTCATCCCCAGGAAACTCATTTCAGCGAGAGGGGAAAAAAAAAGGCAATAAAGTTGTCAGTGCAATAATGCTTCACCTTGTGAAGCATGAATGCCTCAATGCCGGGATATGTTTTTGTTTAGTGAATGATCCCCTTGTCTGCTAAGAATAGAAACCGCAGCTGCTTAGGCATAACAAGAAAGTTGTTCATTTCTTTGAAAAGTGTTTCTTTCTTCACAAACGTGCCTAACTCAGGCATAAGCTAGTTCAAATCTTTCTAGGGTCCTCCAATTAGCTGCAATTAAACATGTACGAATGCTACTCCGATGAGACCTGTTTGCATATAGTTTATAAGAGGCATCGTTTTTCCTAATGTTTTTCTTCCACTCCTAAGGAAAGTGCAGGCTCTGTGTAGCCATTTCAGGGATGATGGTTAATTTTATGTGTCAGCCTGAAGAGTATTTTTAGATGAGGTTAACGTTTAAATTTATAATCTTTGGGTAAAACAGACTGCCCTCCATAATGTAAGTGGACCTCAACCTATTAGTTGAAGGCCTGAACAGAACAAAAAGACTGACTTCCCCAAGCAAGAGGGAATTCTCCAGTAGCCAGCCTACCAGACTATCTGCCCTATCAGGTCTCTAGGGTATCCAGCCTGCTGGACCATGAAGCAGATTTTGGACTTCTCAGCCCTTTCATAATCACAAGAGCTAATTCTTTTCAATAAATCACATGTCATATATGTATGGGATAAATATAACCTAAATCATATATATGAAATTCTAATTCTCCTAGCACAAGTCTACGCATTTAACCTTATAGAACAAAATAGCCCTTTAAAAATAAAGTGGGTTTCATCTTAATTATTTGCAAGTTTTTGTACATACATATATTATGTTGGTTCTGCTTCCTTAGCGAACCTCCACACATCAGGGGCAGGAAAATGGTTCATCTACCTTAAATGCTCAGGTTTCCTATTTTGCTACCTCAGACCTTCATGTGATATAGAAATATTTGAAACCACACACTTTCCTGAGATGACTCCTTCCAGCATCAGTTTGTGTGAGGACTGAGTGGGTTGTGACCGAGTATCATGCTGTGGCTTTGAGTATGGCCCATCACCGCAGTGGCATGTCTTCATCTCCAGGCTGCCCTTCATCAACAAGCATGCATTTGGGTTTGTTTTATGAAAAAGTAATCAGTGTTTACCTTTTCAAGGAAAATATTAACCCTCAAATTGAGACATATAAATCTAACCTCAAATTTAACCTCTACTAATTACTAGCTGTGAATTCCTCGGGCACATTAAACTCTCTGTGTTTCCTCATCTGGAAAACAAGCATTTTTAAAATTTCTCCTTAAGAGGTGTATTGTGAAGAAAAAAATAAAATGATAGGATCCCAGGATAGAGTGCAGGATGTCACCAACCAATCTAACGTATTACTACTATGTGGTGGGTGGAGAAAAGGTGCGACCTGAAAAACCTTTAAATCTGTAATAAAAGCAAAGGAGATAGCACAAAGCACTACACTCTGAATGGTAAAGTTATTTCCCACAGAGGCAGAGTTTCATAATCTTCATACTGCTATACATGGATACTAAAATTGGACAATTAAATAGATAGCTGATGGTAAGGATTTACAGCTAAGCAAGAGGGAGATTAGAATAATCCATTTGGTCATAAATGGAGTTGCAAACAGCAGTATGAACTCATGTTTAGACTAATACAGATGCACAGTTACTTACAGAAATAGTTATGGATACATGTACATACAGGGATTAGTGTACAGACATCTCTTGCCCTGCCCTGTCAGTCAAGAGGGCCTGGAAGTCATCAGTCAGAGTAGCACCAGTACCTCTAGCATGCAAAGCTTGGTTTCTAGTGCTATTCTCCAGCAAAATGAATCAGGGAACCTTGAGAAAGAGTAAGCTCTAAAACTGAATCAAAATTCACAAGATGAGCCTGGAGCATCTTATAGTACCAAGAATTAAAGACATGCTCAGAAAAAAAAAAAGCAAGCAAACCAAAAATGTCACAGTGATGATGGGAGTATGACAAAGGGATACAGGAACCAATGGAAAGAGCTCCCAATAGTTGAGCCACAAAAGTGGTAGTAGATGATAACTTGATGTTTAAGATAAACATATAAATAAAATAAATTTTAAAACCATATATGTAAAATATCCCCCAGTCCATACTGATACAACTGATTGAAATAAATGGAGAAGGGGGACACATTTCCATATCAGAAACATTGCAAATAATTTATGCAGAGCATAACTCCTCATTTCTTAAGTGTGGGATGTACATAGTAACCCATGGCAGACAATACACTATGGAAAGGGAGAGGGAGTCATTTTACAGTGGAAATACCTAACAAATACTACCTGAGCCAGATGGTGAAGGTCAACACCAACAATGACAAGTCATATTGATAGTGTGTACCTTGGTTACGATGTGATGCAAATGGCACTTTACCTCTGTGGCCTTCCTCCCAGAGACATATAATCCCAGTCTAATCATGTGAAAAATATCAGAAAAATCTCAGTTGAGAAACAGTCTACAAAATACCTGACCTGAGCTCCTCAAAAGTGTCAAGGGCTCCTAGCACTTTGGGAGGCCAAAGCGGGCGGATCACTTGAGGTCAGGAGTTCAAAACCAGCCTGGCCGACATGGTGAAACCCTGACACTACTAAAAACACAAAAAAGTTAGCCAGGCATGGTGGCGGGTGCCTGAAGTCCCAGCTACTCTGGAGGCTGAGGCAGGATGATTGCTTGAACCCAGGAGGTGGAGGTTGCAGTGAGCTGAGATCATGCCACTGCACTCCAGCTTGGGCAACACAGCGAGACTCCATCTCAAAAAAAGAAAGAAAGAAAGAAAGAAAGAAAGAGAAAGAAAGAAAAAGAAAGAAAGAAAGAAAGAAAGAGAAAGAAAGAAAAAGAAAGAAAGAAAGAAGAAAGAAAGAAAGAAGAAAGAAAGAAAGAAAGAAAAAAGAGAAAGAGAGAGAAGAGAGAAAGAAAGGAAGGAAGGAAGGAAGGGTCAAGGGCATCAAAAACAAACAAAGTCTGATAAACTGTCACAGCCAAGAGGAGCTTAAGGAGACAGGATGACTTGGTGTCATGTGGTATCCGGGATGGAATCCTGGGATAGAAAAAGGACATTATGTAACAGCTAAGGATATTCTAATGTAGCATGGACTTTAGCTAGTAATAATAATCTATCAATGTTACTTCATTAATTGTAACAAATTTCCATCACAACTTAGAGTTTAGTAATAAGAGGACCTAGGTGTAGGGTATATGGAAACTCTATGTACTATCTTTAGATTTACAGATTTTTCTGAAAACCTAAAACTGTTCTAAAAATATATATTTTATTTAAAAATGAAGTCATATATTAGTGCTCTACACAGTAAATGGCTACTTAATATTAGTTTCTATCACTATCACTAATTATTACTGTACAAGAGGAATATTAAGAGAACATTAAGTAGATTATAATAAAACAAGTCTTCAATGCAAGCCCAATTTTTACAGTAATGATTAGGGGAGGATTAAGAAGATTCCTCTGTGAACCTTCTCTATTGATTTCAAAGTTAGAGGATTAAATTAAAAGAAAGAAGAGATTACCAAGAAAACCCAAGCTAGTTTACAAAGCACGCGTAAAATAATGAGATGAAAAAAACCTAGTTTCTTTTAGTTATAAAGCTTAAATAGAAGTGTCTATTCAAAACTGAAAATAAGATGAAGAAGTATTTTTCTGATATTTATATGTAGTACCAGAAAAGTGCTTAAAAGACAATGGCGAGTGTCTTTTTCTCCCCATCCAGAACTGAACTCCATTTTCTGCTGTATACTGTGGTGCGTTAGTTTCCCAGGACTGCCGTAGCCAAATATCACAGACTGGTAGCTCAAACAACACACATTTATTCTCTCACAGTTCTGGAGGCTGGAAGTCCAAGATCAAGGTGTTCTTAGCAGGAGTGGTTTCCTCTGAGGTCTCTCTCTTTGCATTGTAGATGCCATCTTCTCCTTGTGTTTCCACATGGGCAACCCTCGGTGTGCGCCTGTGTCCTAATCTTTTCTTATAAGGACACCAGTCAGATTAAATTATGGTCCACCCCCATGACCTCATTTTCAGTTAATTATCGCTTTAAAGACCCCATCTTCAGATACAGTCACATTCTAAGGTACTGGGGGTTAAGACTCCAACATATGCATGTGGTGGGAAGCGGGGGTAAAAATTCAGCCCATTACATGTGGTTAGATCGTGGGTTATTGTGAAGATCAAAAGTCAGAGTACTCAGTGGAGAACCTGGTACAGAGTGTGTCCCACAAGGAGGGGCTAATGCTTATTTCTCCAGAATCTCGCAGACAGGGCTAAAGCCACCCATGCCACATGACTCTGCCTCTTTCTCATCTCCACACACCTAAAGGTAGCCCTAGGCCTCATGTCAAGTGAGGCAGATGCTTTTTTCATATTCTGCTGAACCTCTTTGTTACTTTCCTCCTCATTTCCAGTGCTTCAGCCCGTCCCTCCTGGAAACTCTGAGCTCCCAGGCCCTTTGGAACTTCCAGTATCACAAATAGTGTTCTCAGGAAAGGATGTGAGCCTTGCTTGTGTGAAGGGACCAAATGACTCCAATCTAAAACTCTACCCTCCCTACATGTGCTTGTCCCCATAGAATTAGTGATGTAAGGATGCAAATTTAGGCTTAAATCCTAGAGTAGTGCAAGTGTGTGTGTGTGTGTGTGTGTGTGTGTGCTTGTGTATTTTTATGTTTTTGGGAGAGACTGGGGATAAAAGAAGAGGAAGAGGACCAGAAGTAGAGAAGCAGAAAAGGTCCTGGCTCCTTCGAAATCAGAACAGGTATATGACCACCTACACTACCTTAAGACTCAGCTGCGGGAACCTCCTTTTGCTTTGCAGCCCAGCTTGCTTTTCTTAAAAGTGATTTTCTGAGTCAGATGCCCAGGTGTGCGTTTGTCAGAACTTCTCTATTCATGTATTGCTAATAATTCCTCAAAACTTTTAAAAACTAATAATATCATATATTTATAAGTGCTCTTAACTTTTCATAGTACATTTGTATATAATGACCTAGTTTTCTCTAAACAGACACACAAAAAGAGTAAAATAAATAATACTGGCCCATTTTATAAAGGAGAAAATGGACCCAGGGAAAATGCTACTGGCTTAAGGCCAGATAACAAGGACATAAATCCAGGTCATCTGAATTTTATCCTAGGAAACCAGAATTTTCTTATTTAAGATAGGGTAATAAGCAAAGCATTAACACTGAATAATTACACTTCTGTCTCCTTTGATTGATGAATTTTAAACTTGAATTTCCAACAGTTAGATTCCTACTACAATTTTTTACTAGTTGAAGTATATCTCCAATGCTATTTAGATATGATGATATAAGTGTATGTGGACTTGCTGTAATATTTTGCTAGGCATGACTATGTTTATGGTTATGTGATATAATAGATTCAAATAAACAAAAAAATTCCAGCAGGCTTACTTTCCTGGCCTGTCTGTGTGACTTTTGGGAAATTTAGCATGGTGTACAAACACAAAAGACTTCTCTGGATTACTGTAAAATAACATACAGCATAAAGAAATGCATAGTTTTGACTATTTGTCTAGTTCCTTAGCATTACCCATTATAGATTTATGAAGAGAGAACTTCATTCTATAAAAGTAGTAATCTCTTTCAAAAATAACAGAAAATGTAGCACATTCTGATTTGAAATACTATTGCTTGAAAGAATCGATTTCAGACTCCATATCTGGCTATGCTGAAGTACTCGCAGCAGACCAACACTCCCGCTAAGAACACCTGGAAAAACTGGATGAAATACAAAAGAGAGAGACGGAGAAAGCGCTTGAAGGTGTTGATGATTTGCTGAGGTAACGAGAAGTTATGTGGCCAAAGTCCCTGTAAGAAGGAACTTTAGGGAGGTGAGCCTAGGTGCTGACACTGCTCCTTTCTCTTTGGAGACCTTGCCAGCTTTCTGTGGGAGGCAGAGAGCGGGCATGCAGGCAGAGGGCTTGGTTACAAGGCCACTGCCAGCACTGAAAGGAACAGGCAGAGCTTTCTGCAATCTCATGGTGCTGGAAAGACAAAGTGGACTTGACATTGGCCACGTCAACAAGGCATGGGAAGCGGTGTCTAGGTGACAAAGTGGGTACAGTGAGGCGATCCTGCTCTCAGCTTCATTCCCCTGGAGTCACTTGCTGACATCTGGAATTGCAAAGGACAAGGGGATAAAAAACCAGGCAGAAGCTGCTGATAAAGTTTTTGTTTGCTGTTTTTGTGGACTGGGGAGTACTTCACCAAAGGGAAAAGGCCCCAGTAGATATCTAAGGCTCATGGTTGGAACTCCTGAAGAGGGTGTGAATGGACTAGAGGTAGACAAGTTCTCATAAAACTACAACACCGTCTGCTCAGTTTAGATTGAGATAATCTACCTCTATCTATCTGCCTTCCAAGGACACAAAGGAGCCACTCTGGAAGAAGAGAATATCATCCAGAGCCTCTGCAACTTATACAAATGGTCTAGCATTTAAGAAAATTGTCTTTGCGTGCTAAGAAACATGACAAGGAGATTAAAAAAAAAGGTAAAAGAAACAGATCCATACAATAACAATTCAATACAATGAATAATAAAAGCCATATATAAAATACACAAATTTTTATGTATATTTATATATACATACCTATGTATATGCATATACAAATATATGCATATTTGTGTATATATACAGTCATGCATTGTTTAATGACAGGGATACATTCTGAGAAATGCATCATTAGGTGATTTTGTCATTGTGCAGACATCATAGAGTGTACTTTACACAAAACTAAATGGTACAGCCTACTGAACACCTAGGCTCCATGGTACAGCTTATTGCTCCTAGGCTACAAAACTCTACAGCATATACTTCACTGAATACTGTAGGCAGTTGTAACACGATGATAAGTATTCGTGGATCTAAACATATCAAAACATAGAAAAGGTACAGTAAAAATGCAATATCATAATCTTATTTGACCACTGTCACTTATATAGCCCATGATTGACCAAAATGTCATTATGCTTCACACGACTGCATGTACATTAGAAGGACTTTAAGAAAGCACTGGATAGAGAGCTAATGTCAGCTGGGAGTGGTGGCTCATGCCCGTAATCCCAGCACTTTGGGAGGCCGAGGCAGGTGGATCACCTGAGGTCAGGAGTTTGAGACCAGCCTGGCCAACATGGCCAAACCCCATCTCTACTAAAAATACAAAAGTTAGCCGGGCATGGTGGTGGGTGCCTGTAATCCCAGCTACTTGGGAGACTGAGGCAGGAGAATCTCTTGAACCCAGGAGATGGAGGTTGCAGTGAGCCCCTGCCACTGCACTCCAGCCTGGGTGACAGAGTGAGACTCTGTCTCAAAAAAAAAAAAAAAAAAAAACCAGAAAGCAAGCAAGCTAGTGTTGACATAGGGATGTAGGGAAGGTGGGAAGGTGAAGACAGCCCCACATTGAGGAGACGACATATGGGCTGAATCTTGTAAAAGGAAGGAGAAGAAGTGGTAAACACTAAAATTCAGAAATATGAAAGACAACAGGGCAACCCCAGGCTAGAGTTCATGTTGTCCAGGAGTAGGATTAAAAGCTGGTAAGGTATTTTAAGCCTATAATTCTGTCTCCTCCCCAAAAATTAGGAGCCCAGGAGAGGTCACTCAGTCTGTAGCATGGTCAGATTGTTTTAAGAAGATGAAATGTGAAGGTTGGGCATCAAGTGTTCGAAGACTTGTGGTAGATCCGCAGGAGATGAAGACAGCCTCAATTAGTCAGTGGCCCCGGAGGTGCAGAGGTGGGGATGGTATTGGAAAGTGACCTGAGCAGGACTTGGCAACTATTTGGATGAGCAGAGAATTGGTAAAGATGATTGTGAGGTGTTATCTTGGAAGCCTGGCTGGATGAGGTTGGGATGAGTCGAATTAGTGTGTGCTGGATGGGTATAAACTTGGTGACAGGGCAAAAGACCAGATGTAATAAGTTCCTCAGAAGTAGGATAAGTTGCAATGACTACACGCCACTCAGATAAGAGACATCCACGGGCTTCTCCTGCACACTAAGGAATATAGGTTTGCTCCTCAAGGGAGAAGTCTAGGGATCGAGATTGGGAGTTATTAGCATGTAGGTGAATGCAGGACAATGGGTGTGGTCAGTTTGTCACATAAGAAGAACCTTAACAGTGTGAAAATTGAGAGACTGATGAGCAAGAAGATTTATGGGCAGAGAAATCAAATGAACATTGTTTGGCCATTGTGATGATTGGTATTGTTATTTCAGAGCTAAAGCAGATTGAACTCCACTACTGGAACCTTATCATCTTATGAAGCTGCAGGCACTTTGCCTCACTTAGTTCCAACTGTGTGCACTACCAGGCTGCCAATCATTTCTTAACTTCCCCACCCTCAGATTCCTCACCGTGGGTGACCACACCTGTTCTAATGACCATGAGGATCAAAAGGCACAGAATGCATTAAAGGCCAGGGGAAACTGAAGAACCACAGAAGTAAGAGGTGGGGCCATTGCTCTTCTTGTCTAGTTAGAGAAGGAAGTGCAACCTACAGGTTAAAGACTTGAATCTGGATTTGGACTTGATTATAGCACTTACAAGTTGTTTAGCTTTCAGTAAGTCACTTAAACTCTCTAAGCCTCCTTTCCATTGGGATGATTCATTTATTCAACAACAATGTATAGATGATACCTACATCAACCAGGCAGTCTAATTGGGGTGAGGATCACATGCAAACAAAATAAAAATCCTTGCTCAGTGGCGCTTATGTTAATGGTACCCAGATCATCAGCTGTTATAAGGATAACATGAAATAAGGCATGGAAACTGGTGAGGCACAGTGCCTGGAACAAGGTAAACTCTCATGAAACATTAGCTAATTGTATCATGGGTAAGACCTTGGCCAAAGCCACCTTCTAACCCTCTTCTTCCTGAGGCTGCTTCTAGTGTTAGAGCTGGCAAGCTAGAGGAAAGCATTAAAAAAGCATAAATATTACAACAAACTACACTGTTTCCACTCATGAACTCACCACATTAATAACCATGTTATCAATTTTAAATTGCCCAATATTAAAAATGAAGTATTACCATTCAAATATTTCTCACTAGCTTTAATCGTCTTGAGAAAAGCAAGTAAATTTCAGCTTAAACTGATAAAGTAAATGATTGACATTTTAATATGCAAGGAATTTATGAACTACTTACCAATGATAAATATCTTGCCACAGTGTATGGAAAGAGCTAAGACTGGCTGGGGTTGCAGGACTCTGCAGATGGGCTCTCTGGAGTGGGTGCCAATGCTGGGGGCAAGGGCGGGCCTAGGGAATGTGAGCTTACATGCTCAGCTGGGAGACAGCCCTCATCAGAGAGTCCAAGAGGTCCCAACACAAAAATTTTAAGAATACCTAAACTAACGTATATTTCCAACTTCCACAAAAGGGAAAAAATGTGGTAAATACAAGATGAATTGTGACACAATTGATCAAACTGATCTTAGATGATTTTGGAAGTCAGCAGGGAGGGATGTGCCAGATGCCTAGAAATGGGAAAGGCAAGTGCTGGGAGTTTCTCAATGTGTTGTCAACATTGCCCAGGACCCCTGAGCTGACACTCAGGTCTTTTGGTCCTCCTGCTGTGTCCCCAGGTTGGGACAGGGGCAACATGCAGGCAAGACTTTTTTTTTTTTTTTTTTTTTTTTTTTTTTTGAGATGGAATCTAACTCTGTAGCCCAGGCTGGAGCGCAGTGGCGCGATCTCGGCTCACTGCAACCCCCACCTCCCAGGTTCAAGCGATTCTCCTGCCTCAGCCTCCATAGTAGCTGGGATTACAGGCACCCACCACCACGCCCAGCTAATTTTTGTATTTTTAGTAGAGACAGGGTTTCACCATGTTGGCCAGGCTGGTCTTAAACTCCATATCTCAGGCAATCTGCCCGCCTCAGCCTCTCAAAGTGCTGGGATTACAGGCGTGAGCCACTGCGCCCGGTAGGCGAGAGTATTTTTGACTACCTGGCAGTTACCTTGCTAACTATCAAATTTAAATTTAATATCGTATTTTAATCACCAATTTCCTATGCATTTGGTTAAGCAATTCATTTCTCCAAGGCCTAATCACTCATGCCTAAAGTGTCACAATGAATCTGTACATGAGCAGTGATGAGGACACACCCTGAGCATTTGATGTTCCCAAAAGAAGAGGAGCAGAGAGTTCTACTGAATCTTGTTCTGATTTGTTAAATAAATGGAGCTGAACATGGTTTTAGGGAATTTGGGGGCATTTGTGTGTCTATGGTGAAGCAGCATTAGCCATACTAAATGTTCTGTCTAATGGCCAGTGATAAAGACAATTTCCAGCTTTCTTTGAAAACTTCTAATTAATAAATAAAAGATATATAAGAAAAATTTCAATAAACAAACCAATAAATATACGTCTTTGGCATGGTTATTACATAGAGAAAGCCTCAAGCCAAGAGTTGTTATAATACAGAGCACATGGCTTAGCCTCATCCCTTTGGTTTATAAATCATTCATTCATTCATCAAAGTTTAGGAGATAAAACAGATATAGATCTCTCAGATTGGGAAAGGCAAACACATCTCAACCTCAGGTGGAAGAAGTACAATTGTCCTGAGGGAGACACTTTGTTTTGAGAGTTCTGATAAAGGCAGTAAAAAATAGCTTAAGGGTCAAGGAAGGAAACAGACAGGGAAGAGTAAATGCTTTGTTGTGGTTAGGAATTTTAAGGCTGCAAGGAAGACAGAAGTGACCTGAGTTCTCACAAAAACACAAAAAGAATTGAGGAATCCAGGAAAGTAATCTCAGCCACCTCCCAGCTAGGCACCCCCACCCCAGCCACAGCACACTGGGACACCATGCAGGGAGGAAAGGACTTTGGGAGGGAAGGTTATCCAGACAGCCTTCTGCAGCAGAAGTTCTTGCCCCTAATTCAGTGTTTGTCCATCATGATGAGTCTGCTTACATAGGGTGACCAAATAATGGACTCCCTCTTTCTAAGCCTGAAGTTCAAATTCTGACCAAGCAACCATATCTAATAGTTCAGCCAGCAGGCATCTGGGGGTTGGCAAACTATGGCCTGCAGGCCAAATCCATCCACCAACAGCTTTGATATCACCTACGGCAGGCATGCACCAACTAGCACGTAGAGCAGCGGACACAAAGCCAGCACATCACTGCCCCTTTACCCCCAACTCTGGCTTCCCTGTTGATGGCTACCTCTTGCCACTGCCTACAACTTGCACTGGTTTCCACTGACACACTAAGGACCCTGCTGCTGGCAACTGCTGAGCACCGAGTGGTGGCAGTCCAGAGACAGTGACTCAGGCAGTCACCTCGCTCCAGCCAAGCTCCTCATGGTGAGACAGCCATGATTTCCAGGGAATCCCACCAGATCTGGGTGTTACAGTATAGAAAGGGAAACTGACCAGTGCCACCAACTCACCTCATACTTGGCCTGCCAGGCTCTGCCCCTCAGCAGTCACTCTTCTTCCGGTGGATGCCAGGGGTACAAGGCAAGCTCACCACCAGGGATGACTCTCCCCAGGCAGAAAGGACAGAGCAAGGCAGCAGTTCTCCCTCTTGTTATTGAAGTACCTACATAATATTCTCGATTTTTATGTCTCTACAAGAAAACCTGAAATATTCACTATCTGGCTGTTTACAGCAAAATTTGCTGACCCCTTCTCTAGCAGACAGAGCCTGTCTGGCAGAGCTAATGAACTACAACAATTCTGAGGCCACTGAGCATCTTCTAGGTGGGTCAGACACCAACCCCTTATCAGACAGGCTGTGGCCCGAGGTAATGGGTCATTCTGCAGAGCATGACGCGCTAGGAATAAGCAGCTCCCAATGAAAGAAACGGTAATTGTTGCCTCCTAAAGCTCCTGAAGAGTGACAGGCAGGCCCATTGCTGGGCTAGCACAGCACGTCCTTTGCAGGCTGGGCTGTTTCTAACATGTCATTGAACCAACTCTTTGCCTGTAGCTCAGTGGGTGGCACATAACACAAGAACAGAACAAATATCTATTGTGTGCTTAGCCTGTGCCAAACACTGTTCTAGGTGCCCAAGTACAGTGATAATTCAAAGTCCCTAATCTCCTAGTGCGTCTTTTCCACCGAGGTAACATTTTAAAATTATTTCACTTAACATCACCATTCCCAGCATCAGATCACATAGGCAGTAAGAGTCAGGGTGGAAGTGTGAAAATAGCTCCGGCCACTCTGTAAACCGTGCCGTTTCTTCTATGGCTTGTTATTTTGAAGAACAGGTGCTTAATAAAAATATTATGTGAAATTGAATTTGAACAAAGCATTTTTGTCAGAAAATATTAAGCCTGCCTCCTCAGCCTCCTAGCATATTTTAGAGCTATGGAACATGAGACGGGATGTTTTAATGAGAAGCAATAGAAAAAACAGGAGCAGAAAGAGCCAATCATGGCGGCTAAGTATAGAGTCAGAGGGGAAAATTGTTAATATTCAAAGGGTAGGAAAGGGGCTAGGCCTGGGGCTGGGGCTAAAGGGGAACACAGGAGTAAACAGAAGATGCCAAACAGAAACTTCACCCAGTTCCATTTTTGTCTAGACCGACTCTGATTATGAGCATGGATGGGCAATCTAAGTACTGAGACATGGCAGTGACCACTGGACCAGGAGAATTATTATTAGAGAGCCAGAGAAGGAGGTTGTCCTCGGGATTTAGCCCCAGTGATGGTAGCAGAGCATATTACAACATTAATATACAAAGGCTATGATTTTACCAGTAGGTTCCTACAACTGCATAAAACTTCACAGCAAAACCTCAGCTCCTCATTGCTGAATGACTGACTTCAGATGACAGTGCCGTGGGTTCTGCTTGCCTCAGGATCCCTCACCTTTGAAATTCTCAAAAAAAAGGACTTTGAACCTAAATTACAACAGAATTAGGACACTTGATACATCTACAATGCTGCTGAAAAAGAACAATGCCTCTTTATTCATAACCCATAACCTTTATTAGTAGCTAATACATGCTCAACAATTTATTAGGTTTTCTGGTCATATTTGAGAAAACATTATGTAACAAATGGACTTAAACAGGCATTTCTTTTCTTGTAACCACATTGAATTGATTTCAAAGTAGTGCAAAATTTTTCTTGAAACCAGGGATTCAGTGAGGTGGTTGTCCTATGCATTGGGCTTGAGTCTCTTTCACTGTAGAGGAGAAATACAGGGGCTGTGAAGATTCCACGACAAGGAGGTATTGCAGTACCCCAGGACAGAGTGGGATGAGCAGTATCAGTGAGTTAACACCAGAAAATGATGTTTCAGCAAAAAGTGATTCCATTATCTTGCTGGAGTGAAGAGACAGACAAATGACAAAAAACCCTGTTCATAGGAGGAACGGACATCCATGATTTGTTCTGAGTTTAATAACCATTTGGTTTTATGCACTACACCATCCTCAGTCACGCAATCTTGCATAATTACTGCAGAGAGAATAGCAGTAATGGTAACCCTAGGGCATTACAAGAACCTGAACCATTACAGAATGAATTCATGCTCACTGTATCATACTTGCTCTAAGCACACTGATGTTCTTTACGATGATTATCACACTATAAAAAGAAATAAGATATAAAAGAAATAAAACAAAAAAATAAAAACGGATTCTGTTTACCAAAGTATTCAATAATGAGACCAACCTCTCTTCTGAGATTTCTACTTCATTATGATTTTAATGCATGCTTAAGTACAGATATGAGCAATTTCGAGTTTTGCCCACTAAATGCTTTCGTAAACATTCATGTGAGGTTTCGATTACATTATAAAGATGTGTGGGCGTTTATTCAGTTCCATCATGTTCCTTAGTCCTACAACTGTTCCTAAATATTTTTTATGCCGTTAAGATAACTTTTTAATTAGCGATGAAGAAAAGCTGTTGATTTTTCTTTTTTTCCCTTGTAGTTTGCCCTTGTATAGAAAAAAAAAAGAATTCCTAATAATCTTTACTTTGTTTGGTTACTACCTGAGTTATTTTTGGTCCTTCATTTTAAAAAGATGCATAATGCATTTGTCTAGCTCGAGGAGCTTGTTCTCTGAATTACAGAGAATGAAGAAAGGAGCAAATTATCATCACTTAAAATTCGCCCAGATAATGCTGGCACACAATGGGACACACTGCTCCCTGAAGCTGTAACTCATGCAGTCCTTTAACCACCTACAGGAGCTTCCTTCTTCTCTCCTTGCAATCCAGGATTTTGAGGAATAGTACATTTGGGGAAATGCATTTTCCCTCCAGTCTTAGGCAAATATATACTTGTGTTATATGTGAGTGGTATGTCATTACAAAATGTCATTTGCACTCTGCATGAATTTCCCACCTTCAGCATCATCACCTGGGCCAGGCTGAGCTAAGGGGATATGGGTACCAGTATCAGTAGTGAGTGGTCAGTCCTCCAATCTAACCTCTTCAACCTCACCCCCACCTTTGGCTGGCTCTCTGAGTAGCTTTCACCTGTTCCCATTGAGGGTCTCTGCAGCCAACAGATTGGGTTTGCTGCTCCACCTCTGGCACTGCTACCTCCAACCCCACTACTTCTAATGATGCCAGCCCCCTGAAGAGAGACTCAGGTTTGCAGTTGCCATGATCCTGGGGTTCATCTTGCCAAGGAGTGGGGAAAGACTCTTCTTCAATAAGTCCTAAAATTACATTATCAAACCCTCATTTAGGAAACAGTTCCTGCTTTTCAGCTGTTTTTGATTACTTTAATTAATATTCAAATACAACGCACAAAAACTTGATTAGATTCTGGTGCAAAAAAGGATTACTTGTAAAAAAAAATTCCGTCTCTCAAAAAAACATTGCTTTTCACCCTTCCCACATAAACTTTGAACATATTGTTTTAATAAATAGTATTTCTTCCTTTTTCATGCTTTAATTTCTCTGAATTTGGCTAGTGAAAATTTCTCCAAAGTCGCACCTATGTTTTCTGTTTTACCTTGAAACACTCACATTAGTCTTAGAGCAATTTTTGCTTTCTGGCCTATCAAGATATTTTAGGCTTATATTATATTTTTTCTACTCTAGGCCCAGAATCAGCCATTTCTCTAAGGCGTTCTAGTTACTTTATGTGGGAAAAATATTTAGAAATCAATATCTGGGTGCTCGGTGTGCCCATTGCTGCCAGGGTGTTATTTTAGATTATTTTAGAAGGTAATTCTGGGATACCTTACTCTCTCTCTCTCTCTCTCTCTCTCTCTCTCTCTTGCTCACTGTCACACACACACACACACACACACACACACACATACACACACACCCCCCTCTTTTTGAGTTTTGAGACTCTCATTACATATGAGTATTCAGGGATGGTGACAGTCAATAGAGAGTTAGTGATTCAATATTAATTGAGCATTTACAATGAATAGGTATCAACACGAGGAACATACCAATGCAAACATCTATGTCCCTGCCTTCCTGAAGCTATGTTGTACTGTTTAATAAAGATAACAAGCTAATAAATGTACAATGTAATTTCAGATAATTATAAGTGTTGCAAAGCTAATTAAACAAGATATGAGAACCCAAATTGTAAGTTTTCTAAAAAGAAAAAACCCTACTTTCGATTGATCGGGGAAATTAAAATTTGAGGAAAGGCTTGACTAAAGTGTGAGAGGCAGTCACAAAAATATCAAGGCAAAGAGAATTTCAGGAAGAAAGAACAGCAAGGGAGAAGACCTGAAGGTGAAAACAAGCATAGCATGTTCAAATATTGTTGAAAAGGCCAATAAGATTGCAATGAAATAAGGATTTAAGAGCGAGGGCAGTGATGGAAAATGAAGCGGAGGAAGCAGGCAGGGCTGAAAAGCTGGAGGGTCCTTTAAGCCATTGTAAAAACTTCGACACTTTTTCCCAGTATGAAAAGATGGAATTGGGCAATTTTGAGCAAAAAAGGAGGCATAACCTGGTCTTCCTGAAACAAGACCTCTCTGCCTGTTGATAGGAAACAAGACTAGCCAAAACAGGAAACTGGCCAATACGGTTAGCGTGATAGTTCAGGCAAAGAAACATCAGCTTGAATGCATAAGGTGGCAGTGGCTTTCAGGAAGAAGTGACTGTGTTCAGGTATTTAGAAAGTGGAACTATCAGAAATTGATAATGAATTAAATGAAGGTATGAAAGAAAGAGAGGAATTAAGAATGATTCTTAAGTTATTGGTACCATTTGCTGAGAAGGGAAAGCCTGAGAAAGAAGTGATTTGTAGAATGTATGAAATGTTTTAGTTTGTATCCAAAGTGATCTTCAGATTCAATGCAATCCCTATCAAAATACCAATGAAGTTCTCCACAGAAATAGAAAAAAATACCCTAAAATTTGTATGGAACCACAAAGCATTCTGAATAGTCAAAGCAATCTTCAGCAAAAAAGAACAAAGCAGGAAGCATCACAGTACCTGACTTTGAAATATACTACAAAGCAATAGTAACCAAAATGGCATGGTACTGGCATTAAATGCATAGACCAATGGATGAGAACAGATAACACAGAAATAAATCCAGATATTTAGAGCCAACTGATATTTGATAGACATTAAGAACATACACTGGGGAAATGACAGTCTCTTCAATAAACGGTGCTGGGAAAACTGAATATCTACATGCAGAAGAATGAAACTACACTCCTATCTCTCACACTTACAATGCTCTATTCAAAATGAATTAAAGACTTAAATGTAAGACCTCAAGCTATAATACTACCAAAAGAAAACATAAGAGAAAGGTTTAATGACATTGGTATAGGCAAGAACATATTTGGATAAGACTTCAAAAGTACAGGCAACAAAAGTAAAAATTGACAAATGGGATTATATAAAACAAAGTTTCTGCACAGCAAAATAAACAATCAATATAGTCAAGAGACAACCTAGAGAATTTGAGAAAATATTTGCCAACTATGCATTTGACAAGAGGTTAATATCCAGAATATACAAGGAATTCAATAGGAAAAAAGTCAAATAATCTGATTATAAAAGAGGCAAGTAATATGAATAGACATTTCTCAAAAGAAGATACACCAATGGCCAATGAGTATATGAAAAACTGCTCAACATCACTAATAATCAGGGAAATGCAAATCAAAACCATATGACATATTAACCTACACCAGTTAGAATGGCTGTTATAAAAAAGATGAAACATAACAAATGCTGTCAAGGATATGGAGAAAAAAGAACTCTTATACACTGTTGGTGGGAATGTAAATTAGTTCAGCCATTATGGAAAACAGTATGGAGGTCCTCAAAAATTTAAAATAGAATTACTATATGATACAGCAATCCCTCTACTAGGTATATATCCAAAGGAAATAAAATCAGTGTGCCAAAGAGATATCTGCAATCTCATGTTTATTGCAGCACTGTTCACAATAGCCAAGATATGGAATCAACCAAAGTGTCCATCAGTGGATGAATGGGTAAAAATAGGTAATACACACACACACACACACACACACACACACACACAGTGGAATATTATTCAGCCACATAAAGCACAAAATCCTGTCATTGGCAACATGGATGAGGGAGGAAAATATGTTAAGTGACATAAGCCAGATGAAGAGAAACAAATTCTGCATGATCTCATTCAAATGTGGAATCCAAAAAAAAAAAAATGTTGACATCTTGGAAGCAGAGTGCAACAGTGGTTACCAGAGGCTGTGAAGCCAAGGGAGTGGCAGGGGCAGGGGAGAGAGGGAGACATTAATCAACAGGTACAAAGTTGCAGTTAGATAAGAGAAATAAATGCATTTTAGTGTTCCATTGCACAATAAGATGACTATAGTTAATACTAAAATATTGTATATTTTAAAATAGCTGGAAGAGAGGATTTTGAATGTTCTTACCACGAAGAGATGATAAATGCTTGAGGCAATGAATATGTTAATTACCCTAATTGATCATTACACGTTTTATACAAGTACCAAATAATCACACTGTACTCCGTAAACATGTATAATTGGCATGTGTCAATCAATTTATTTTATTTTACTTTAAGTTCTGGGACACATGTGTAGAACTTGCAGGTTTGTTACATGGGTATACATGTGCCATGGTGGTTTGCTGCACCTATCAACCCGTCATCTAGGTTTTAAGCCCCACATCCATTTGGTATTTGTCCTAATGCTCTCCCTCCCCTTACCCTCCACCCCCCGACAGGCCCCAGTGTGTGATGTTCCCCTCCCCTTTCCATGTGTTCTCATTGTTCAACTCCCACTTATGAGTGAGAACATGCGGTGTTTGTTTTTCTGTTCCTGTGTTAGTTTGCTGAGAATAATGGCTTCCAGCTTCATCTATATCCCTGCAAAGGACATGAAATCATCCTTTTTTATGGTTGCAATTAATTTTTTAAAAAAACTTTAAAAAAGTTTTGGTTTGAAGCATGCTGAATTTGAGATGCCTGCTAGATATCCAATGGGAAATGCAGAGTGCAGAGTTGGATGTGTGGTCTGGAGCTCAAGGCAGAGGCTGGAGCTGGAGAGGTCAATTTGGGAAACATTGGGCTAGAGATGCCACTTGAAGATGTGGAGCAGAGCAGTGAAAACAGAAAACTTCAAAACTGAGTTTTGGCCCAGCACAGTGGCTCAGACCCATGGTCCCAGCACTTTTGGAGGTGGAGGAGGGAGGAGGGCTTGAGCCAGGAGTACGAGACCGAGACTCTGTCTCTACTAAAAATAAAAAAATTAGCCTGGCGTGGTAGTGCATGCCTATAGTCCTAGCTACTCAGGAGGCTGGGGTGAAAGGATTGCTTGAGCAGAGGAGGTCTAGGCTTCAGTGACCTATATGATTGCACCACTGCACTCCAGCCTGGGCAACAGGGCAACATCTGTCTCAAAAAGTCAAAACACACAAAAAAAACTGAGCTTTGAAGCCAGGACAAGGAGGAGGACCCTCTAAGAAAGATCCAGAAGGAGCAGTCAGGGAGGCAGGAGAAAAGTCAAGAAGGTATGGTGGCCTGGAAGCCACATGAGAAAGTGTTTCAAAGATGGAGTAAATTAGCCAATACGGCAAGTAAGATGAGTGCTGAGAAGTAATCCTGGGATGGGGCAGCATGTAAGTTACCAGTGACCTTGACAAGGAAAATGTTAGTTGGGTGGTGAAGACAAAAGTCTGGGTAACGTATGTCCAATGAGAAGGAAGAAGAGGAGGTGATGTGGAGTAAAACAACCCAGAAAGCTTCTATTATAAGGGGAAATGAAGAAATAGAAGGAAATTATCAAGTGGGAAGGGAGATTAGGAGAATGGGCAATGCCTTTTGCCATCATCAATAGCTGGCACAATTCCAAATGAGATGTGCGCTACGGTCGCCAGATGGCTCTAACAAAAATACCCGGCACATATTGTGAAGGTTCATTATGTCCCATTTTTAGTTAATAAGCAAGTTGTCATAATAGCAAATGGTGAAAGTCAAGAGAGTGAGCAATAAAATTAATGCCTAAGCCATATTCAGATACAACAATAAAAACTTTCTTAATTTGAAAAATGCAAAGCATCAGATGCTGAATATTTTTTTAAACTTTTTTTCTCCAAGTACAGCACTCGAGTACTAGACAATCTTCTTCAAATATGAACATGCAACTCTAACAATAATTGTTTCACCACAACTTTCTGAGTAGTAGCATGTGCAATTTATAAGAGAATGTACAGTTGCTTGGGGTGGTGGATACTCCATTTAAAAAGATGCTTTCTACCTCTAAAAATCTCTCTCATTTAAAGTTCCACTGGGGCTAGGTCTTCATATTACATTTGACTAGATACTGCTAATAAAACTATTAGCATTTTTCATTTTAAAAAATGGCCATTATTGATAATTTGTCTTTTTGCTGAATCTCTCTCTCGCTCCCTTTTTTTCTCACTCCCTCTCTCCATGTCCCTCCCTCTCAACTCCCTCTCTCTGCCACCTCCTCATTTCTTTGGTTTTGAGTAAGTCAGAACTTCAAGGCCAGGTCACATGACGATGTCATTTCCAGAACTTTCCTAGCTTCCCTCACTCTCCCACACTCATGCCTTCCTTCTCTTTTCCATTCTGTTTTTCCCTCACTGCTTCCTTCTAATCACTTAGTCCTTTTACTTTTCCTACCAGTTACTCTGTGATTCATCATTGTTTTCACCTTTCTTTTGACAAAACCTTTCCTATAAGGCATTGCTTCTCAGGACACTTCGTCTTCCTCCCAGCTCAACATTCACTATGTCTGAATTGCCCTTCTTCCTATTTATACAGGGGCTGCAGAATCCAAACACAGGATGCCAACCCAGACCTTTCCACCTGCCAGCTACAGTTTCTTTGTGTGTAAAACGGGATGACAACACTACACACTCCAAAGGATTTTGATAAAATTTAAATGAAACGTAGAGTGTAAAAGTCTTAGCATGGCGTCTGATTTGTGTTTATGAAATATTCGTTGTTATTCTTATCATTTCCTTGACTTTTTATTATCTCTGTCATTAGAAAATAATGAAGATTGAGGAAACTTAAATTTTCCAACAACCAAATTCTCAAATGGAATAATGTCAATATGGAGTTTAAAGGTCTAATTAATAATATATGTGATATGTATACCCATCAGGGTACAGACATGAAACATATGACTAACTGAAACTGGAAAATTTGAGGAGAATTTAACAATGGAATATTTTCAAAATGGGCATGGTATAATGAAACAAAAGGTAGTTCAGTACCCTGGGACTAGCAATATCAGGGAGCCCTTACCCAAGGCCCTAAAAGAGCAAGGGGGTGCGAGCAGGTGGAAAAATAGCCAGGAGGTACATGGAGAGGGTTGCCTAGCAGGAGTTGTGGCCACAAGGAGAGGATCACATCATGCCACTGGAAAGATCCAAAGGAATAAGTTCTCCAAACTCTGTCCTCCCTGCCTTTGATCCCTGAATGCTCCTGACTGGTCATACCCAACACATAGGTCAGCTTCATGGGATACACAGCAGATGCGGAAGGGTGAAGGATGTATCTAGGGATGGAAATCCTGATTTGATGCTGGATCTTTTACATGAGACCCAGGATGTTAATCTAAGTCTCCCAGTCATGTTATACAGGCTCAATTGCAATTCGCACAATTTCTATGTGCAATTAAATGGATTAAAAAGTCTGCATAGTCTGAGTTTCTTGTCAACTTAATAACAATCTCCATCTTTAAATTTGAACGAAATACTTCACCATGAATTATTCTAGGTACTTCTAATAAATTCATAACCACATTTATGACCTGACATTACAGCTGTAATTGGCATTATATTTACATATTTGTTATAATGACTATGCAATAAGTGTGCCTTAATTAGATGATGATATTGTAACTAACAACCCATACCACTTAATTTATAAAGGAGATTAGAAACAAAATATCATATGCAACTTGTTTTAATTAGCTCCTCTGAAGCACCTTGGGCTCTACACTGCTATTTGCAATTGAGGCAATTGTTGTTTGAGGAGGGATAAATCAGTGAATTAAATGCGCATATCCCTAAAACCGTTTCCTCCTTACTGATTGTTAGAATTAGATAATTTGCCATATATTCTGGTTGCCTTGGCTAAAAGGAAGGTAAAGACTCAGTTTTTTGTTCAGATATTGGTACAATTTAATAATTACAATCAAAATGCTTTATTTTCTTTATAATTTTACTTAATTTCCCCACATTATATTCCAATTTTTATTTTCTTATTTTATGTTCTTTTAAACGACATTAAAGTTTTGAAGGGTTTTTGGAAAATACGTAATGTGCAAATATTTAATATTTGGAAATTCCAGATCAGGCATGATTTATGAGCTATGTGGATTATTTTCTGATAGATGCCAGTCCCAAAACTGCAGAGCTCATTTTTCATGGAAGATCGATTTGCTTATCAAATTATGCAAAATCGGTACATTTAGCATCTATTGCTTTTCTATTGAACTGAAATCAACCACAAACACATTTTTATGGCTGCACAATAATAATAACAATAACAATATATGGAAGCAAACTTCCAAATAAGAAAACCCTTTAAAAAAAAGAAAACCTCAAACAGCTCAGTGCAGAATTCGGTAATTCCACCCACATGCTATCATCATGAGGAGCAAATGTTTATGTTGCCAAGTTCACCAAAATGGGAGATAAAGCTCTCAAGAGAAGAACATTCCTCACTCATGCAATACTAGACATTGAGAACAAATTTCATTTGTCACTGCTCCTTCATGTTGGCACCAAACAATACAAAACGTTATATTAATAATCAAAAGAAATGCTGGTACATTCAGAGGTATTTAGGCTAGAAAGTTATTTGAAACTGCAAAGCTTTTATGAGTCTGCCAGATGTTTCACGGTGAATTATTCCTAACAAAGGTGCCAAAAACATTTCAAGTTAGTACAGTGAAATTAGCTTTCCTTATTGATGAGAAGCAAGAAGGTGTCGAGTTTAAGAGTCTCTCTAGATACATTCATCTACCTTTTGGTACAGAACATGCCAATGAGCATTTCCTAACAATTTGCTTTAATCTGAAAGGATGCAATGTTAGCCACTTAAATATTACAAGCTGCCACATTTGTTCTCAGAAGGTAAATCTTTTTAAAACAATTGCAAGTGGAGCCTCTAGAAAAAGAAAACCAATTTCCTACTTAACTTCCCAGTAAAATGTAGCCTCCATCACCAGAATCTCACTTACTCAGTGCTTAGTGCAACCCAATATTTTCATGATGCAAGTTGCTGAATACTTTAAGAGCATCGACTGTTTTTAGCATTAGGCCATATAATCTCGATTTTGGGGGACTTTCCACAAGCACTCCCTAAACAAGAGGTGGGATTGAGGATTAAAGGTTTATACCAGCAGATGGATAAAACTAAGCTATGAAACATGCATTAGACTGCACTTCACTAATTTTGCTCCAAAAGAAGTTGATTATTTTGATTATTTTAGGCTTCCCATGTCAGGATAGATGTTTTTAGACTTTCAGGACTGTGGATTAGTGGCTTTGAGCAGAAAATACATTACAGGAAAAAAAAAAAAAAAAAAAAACAGGAACCGTTCCTTGCCTCGTAAAGTGTAAGATAGAAAAATACACAGGGTTTTATTTTTAAAATACTTCACCATTTTCTTCAATACAGTTGTTAACAGGAAAGTTTGTTTTAAAGTGGTGAGGTAATTTCTAGTAGGTAACAGAAGCTTAGGATGCAGGCAGGGTCTGCCTGTCAGGGTGGACACTCCACTTTTGACAAAAAAATGACAGCGACTTGCTACCTTGCAGCCTCCCTTCCTGGCTAATGATTAATAATCCCATAGAGTCAGGAAAAAAAAGGAGGCCTCTGTCAGGTTGACCCAAGTCTACCTGTGCTGACCTGTTGACTGGGGGGTTAAACTACTTTAAGATTTGTGAATTTAGTTCAGCATCCTTGTTACAGTTTGTTTAAAGGGAATTTACTGGTCCTGATGCTGGCCATTATGTGGGGTCTTAAGGACTCTATAGATAGGACTATAGGGAGCATTGTCAAATACATTTATCATAGGAGTAACTGAAGAGAATATTGGAAATCAGGAATATCATAGAAAAGCCTGAATTCAGCTAATGTACTTTCTGATCATGCTGCTCAATTTATAATACTGGTTTTTGGTTCTTGATTTGCTTCACGTACCTCTGTTTAATATCTCATGTTCTGTTTTTGTTTTGTGGGATGCTCAGCTCTAATGTCCAAAAATAATCAATTATCTGACAAAGATCAGTAAAATGATCTGAGAATTAATATCCCCAAAGCTAACATTTTTGAGGTCTCGTTTTATACAAGCAATGTACTAAATGCTATACAAGCATTAACTCGTGTAATTTCTACAACAACCCTATGATGTATATTTTGTTATTATCTTAGTTTTACAGATGAGAAAACAGTGGCAAAAATAAGTATTGTAGCTTGCTCAGGGTCATGTAGTCAATATAGAGCAGAAATAAGGTTCAGACCTAGGATGACTCTAATCCAGACCCTTAAATACTACTGGACAAGCAATAATAGAATTCTTTTTATTTTGAATCAGTAACTTGATAGATAGCCAAAAGAATCATGTGGCATATTTTTTATGTGATAGACCCTAGTGCTAACACCGTGCTGGATGCTGTGAGAAAAAAAATAAGAGTTAAAGACAGTATCCACCCACAAGAATTTAACAATCCGATGGATAGCTAAGTATTAAACCTGAAGGTTAACGGAAGGCTATTCGATTTTGGTAAATGTGTGTTGTATTTATATAGAAACACATGAATTTATATACACTTAAATATATCTGAGCCAATTTTGAAAGATTATTGGTTTCCAGATTTGTTAATTAATTTAGATACCTTAATGATGTAAAAGTAATTATGCTAATTTTTTTAAAAAGGAAAATAGTCTCATTTAAGTATGTTTAACTCCTATAAAGACAATATTTATATAAAAGCAAGCCATCACATGTTGAAATGAAGACCAATTAGAAAATACATGCAAATGATTACCAAAATCTCCCAGGTTAACATGCAAAAGGAGTAAAATACAAGAAAGGCATTAATATGAATATAATGGAGCTGCCAGGTTTTGAGGGAGTGAAGCAGATATTAGATTAGTGCAAAAGTAATTGTGGTTTTTGCTATTTCAATGGCAAAAGCCACAATTACTTTTGCACCAATCTAATAGTTCCAACTGTGACACACACCATATCTTGGAATTATGGTTAACAGATTCAAGGTTACGGAGGAAAATTTTCTTAATGAAATCTTATTGGCTTGGGTATCACAGAATTCGCCTATGGTTTCCTGGGTACCTACTGCACTCCAGTAGGAGGGAACCTTCACAATTCTTTTACTTCTGGAAGATCCAGGGATGGAAATCCATGCCTTTGATGAGAGACGTACTACCGATTGGCTCTCATTTGTGTGCTTCCCAATCCAGCTCCGGGATTGTATTTTGAAAACCTTGGAAGAGACAAGGATGGAAATCAAAACTGAAAGAGTTGGAACTCTTTATAACATGAGGACACAAGAAGCATGGCTTTGCTGACATCTAACTGTGTGTAATCCAAGTGTAGGGATGTAGTCTCCCAAGTCAACAGAAACCACTGGGCAGCTTCATTTCTGTGGGCCTCTCAGCCTAGGGGTGCCCTGCAAGAAGAGTTCTGGGTCTAAACATAGTTTAGGGGATGGGGATCCTGCATTAGTCCTTGGTGATGAGACTCAGTGGAATTCAAATTGCTACAGATTGCAGTGAGGCAATGGTAGTGGAAGAGCTGTGTTGTGAGCCTTGGGCATGCATAGGTAGTAGCTGTGTGAATTATCTGTCAAGAACAGTGTGATGGGAAATTTATTACAAAATACAAAAATTAAAATAAGAAAAACCTCGTTCATTCAATTTAAAAATAGATAATTTCCTATTAATTTTTGTATTCTATTTCTATGTTATCATTCAAGGACACTGTAAAAACTTAAAGATGAGCTTGCAGCCAAAACCAGGAGAAATTGTAAAGTCAAAAAATAGTTAATACGTAGCCAGAGGGCAGTTACATGGTCAATCACTGAGAAGGGTATTAAACAGGCACAGAATCTAGACAGCAGCACCAACAGGGACAGACGTGAGTTCCTGGTTCATTCCTGCCCTGGAGTCCCAAATCCTTCAAGCTTGCAAAGCTCTCTTAAAACTTGCAAATGAGGTACCAACCCTACAGAGAGAAAGAAATCCTTGACTGTTCCAAGGAGAGAACTGCTGCAATTTTCAAAGCTTCCCTTGGCCCTAGGAATAAAGAGTGCTGGCTGAACCTCCAGATTGCTTTTAAAAACGAGATATGAAGACATCCCTTTGTATTTCAAATAACAGATTAAGATGAAACCATTCTGTAATTTGCAACATTTTCAACATCTTACTCTCAATAGCCACCATGACCTTTTCTTGTTATGTACAGACCATATAGTCATTAATCATTTTTCTGCATAAGGTTGAATTCATTAGTTTTTAAAGCTGATATAGATTCATAGCTGTTAGTCATAATTAGTTGCTTAAAAGAGTGTGCGGGGGGGCAGTGGGGTGATTAATGCCTCATTAGCACCTCTCTGTTTCTTCTAAAATACTAGCAAGCAATTAATGCAATGAGAAAGAGACCACTCATGTTCTGAAGAAACTGACCCATCCTAATAAACTGCTTTAAAAAATTGTACTTTGTCCTTTTGAACACAAATTATTGAGCTAGAGCTTGAGACGGTGCTTTTTCCCTGCACATAAAGCAAGCGAATTCAGGGGAAGGTTGCTACATTCTTAATTCCAATCAACAGACATTTATGGTCTCCTCGTTGCATGCCTGCTACTGTGCTTATTATAGGTCATACAAGAGAAGACTATCACGACACCTATCTATAAGGAGCAGAAACCTGTCTTTGAGATGATATGGAAATGTCCACATCCAGGAAGCAGTTAGAAAACAACCAAAGGCTTCGACTGGAGGCATCATTTTTAAGCTGGCCAGCTCAGTAGTGCAGGGCTGGCTGGCAGAAGATATGCTCCTTAGACTGGCTTGGAGGTCAGGCTTCCAACCACAGCTCTGCTGCTTACTATATCACCTTGGACTGTGCCCTTCATTTTCCTGAGTCTTTTTTTTTATTTGTCAAAGTCAAGCACTGATAAACTATATGAAAATCACTCCTAACATAGTGCCTGACCATAAAGAACTTTGGCCAGAGAATAGTGCCAAACACAGCTTTATTAGGAGATGTGTGCGCTGTGCCCTTTAGGAAGGCTTAGTTGGTGGGGATAGTCAGAGAGAGTCCAGCATGAGAGGAGTTCAGGCTCCTTTCTCTGCTGAATCTCTCCTCATAGCTGGGTATTATGTTCATCGTCAGGCCCACTGAAAGGTGAGAGATGTTGGTGACAAAAGAGCCCTGGTAGTCAGGCCCTCAGATGTGAGTGTGCTAAAGATTCAATAAGCTAATACATGAAAAGTTATCAGCAGGTGCCTGGCACACAGTACACATTCAGTAAACATTAGCTATTATCTTTATTGTTATTATTTAATAATAATTAAGTAATATCATTATTTAATGAAATATCTGGTTCAATATAGGCATTCAAAATATAAGATCATAGTATATAAGGAAATATATGAGAGCCTCCAGCCATTTAAAAAGCTTTGCTATAGAAAGAGGCAGTGGAGGCTGGGTGTGGTGATTGACACCTGTAATCCCAGCACTTTGGGAGGCTGAGGTGGGAGGATAACGAGGTCAAGAAATCGAGACCATCCTGGCCAACATAGTGAAACCCCTCTCTACTAAAAAAAAATACAAAAATTAGCTGGGCATGGTGGCACACACCTGTAGTACCAGCTACTTGGGAAACTGAGACAGAAGAATCACTTGAACCCGGGAAGCGGAGGCTGCAGTTAGCCAAAATCGTGCCACTGCACTCCAGCCTGACAACAGAGTGAGACTCCGTCTCAAAAATAAATAAATAAATTAAATAAATAAATAAATAAATAAATAAATAAATAGAGGCAGTGGAGAGGATTCAGTATTATTTAAGTATACAGGTCTAAACATACTTTAGGGGATGGGGATACTGCATTAGTCCTTGGTGATGAGACTGAGTGGAATTCAAATTGATACAGATTGCAGTGAGGCAACGGTGGTGGAACATGGATTCTACTGGAGAAAACTCTTTTCTGTGAATTACAGCTACCCAGAACTGTCTTGAAACATAGTGAACATTTATCTCTTACATAAGAAGAGTCTCCAAGATACAAACAAATGTGTTGAGGCTGACCTCTGAGATCCTTTCCATAAGGCAAGGGGTACATGCCCAGCACACACGGCATCCATAAAGAACAAACAAGGTCATGCTCAGGAGAATCTAAGTATGCAATGAAAGGTGGTGGCTGTAAGTGTGTTCCCAAGACCTGCTAACTCAGCCAAAGTACCTGGGTTAGCACTCAGCTGTGTCCACAGCCAGCTGTGCCAGCGTGGGTTGCTGTGAGTCTTGCTGTCTCTATTGTACAAAGAATAAGTAATAAAAATACATTATTGTTTTGAGGCATTAATGTAAAACATGTAGAATGGCTAATAATTAATATTATTATTATTATGCTATTCAAGTAGAGAAAAGAACATTCTGAGGAGGAAAATTAATGACTAAAGACTAAAGTGGTCAAAGTAGGCATTTAATAGTGCTTTTTAGTTGAGTAAGTTGGAGCAATAGCATGAGTAAATTGTCTGGCTGAGGTCAGATTATTAAAGGTCTTGGAGGCCAGGGAAGATTCAAAGATTGTAGATTTTATTTTTTGAAAGGAGATTATAGAATGTTTCTAGTGAGGAAATATTAATAACAAGGTAAAAGCATGATTTTGTGGCAGAACTTAGATGTTTACATAGCATATTCAGATGTGATCTCGTTTGATCTACACATCCTCCTGTGAGGTCTGTGAAGCCATTGCTATTATCTCCAACTTTCAGAAGAAAAAGTAGGTTCAGAAAAATAAAGTAACTTGTTCTTGTGGCAAAAGTATTAAATGACCTAAACCCATATCTTCCCATGACCCATATTGTACAATTCATCACAGCACATCACAGGATGGCAGAGGAGAAGTTCACGATTTCACAAATATTTGACAATTTGGTAATATCATTTTTATCTCATTGAAATTAAAAACATCATCATCTTGGTAATATCATTCTTATCCTATAGTATTTGCTGCCATACTTTGGCATTATGTGTTAAATAAGGTAGATGTAATTCTCACTTTGTTCAGTTCCGACAATTCGAAAAATTAACAGAGGTCTATATAAAGGACCTCTATCAATTGATTTGACATCTAGCTAAATCTCTTCTAGTCAAATCCTCCAGGATTTGTATTATCAATCCAAGTTCTATTATGATGACTTTATAACGCAAATGAGTTCATCTTAAAACTCTAGGAGAGAGAGATTCCAAGATGGCCAAATAGGAACAGCTCCAGTCTACAGCTCCCAGTGTGAGTGACACAGAAGATGGGTGATTTCTCCATTTCCAACTGAGGTACTGGGTTCATCACACTGGGGCTTGTCGGACAGTGGGTGCAGCCCACAGAGTGTAAGCCAAAGCAGGGTGGGACATTGCCTCACCTGGGAAGTGCAAGAGGTCGGGGAATTCCCTTTCCTAGCCAGGAGAAGCTGTGACAGATGGTACCTGGAAAATCGGGACACTCCCACCCTAATACTGCGCTTTTCCAATGGTCTTAGCAAACGGCACACCAGGAGATTATATCCTGTGCCTGGCTCAGAGGGTCCCACACCCACTGAGCCTTGCTCACTGCTAGCACAGCAGTCTGAGATCGAACTGCAAGGCAGCAGCGAGGCCGAGGGAGGGGCATCCACCATTGCTGAGGCTTGAGTAGGTAAACAAAGTGGCCAGGAAGCTCAAACTGGTGGAGCCTACTGCAGCTCAGGGAGGCCTGCCTGCCTTTGTAGACTCCACCTCTGGGGGCAGGGCATAACTGAAAAAAAGGCAGACTTAAACGTCCCTGTCTGACTGCTTTGAAGAGAGTAGTGGTTCTCCCAGCATGGGGTTTGAGATCTGAGAACGGACAGACTGCTTCCTCAAGCAGGTCCCTGACCCCCATGTAGCCTAACTGGGAAACACCTCTAAGTAGGGGCCGAATGACAACTCATACAGCCTGGTGCCCCTCTGAGATGAAGTTTCCAGAGGAAGGATCAGGCAGCAACATTTGCTGTTCGGCAATATTTGCTGTTCTGCAGCCTCCACTGGTGATACCCAGGCAAACAGGATCTGGAGTGGACCTCCAGCAAACTCCAACAGACCTGCAGCTGAGGGTCCTGACTGTTAGAAGGAAAACTAACAAACAGAAAGGACATCCACACCAAAGCCCCATCTGTACGTCACCATCATCAAAGACCAAAGGTAGATAAAACCACAAAGATGGGGAGAAACCAGAGCAGAAAAGCTGAAAATTCTAAGAATCAGAGCACCTCTTCTCCTCCAAAGGAATGCAGCTCCTCACCAGCAATGGAACAAAGCTGGATGGAGAATGACTTTGACGAGTTGAGAGAAGAAAGCTTCAGACGATCCATAATAACAAACTTCTCTGAGCTAAAGGAGGATTTTTGAACCCATCGCAAAGAAGCTAAAAACCTTGATGAAAGATTAGACGAATGGCTAACTAGAATAAGCAGCATAGAGAAGACCTTAAATGACCTGATGGAGCTGAAAACCATGGCACAATAATTACATGACACATGCACAAATGTCAGTAGCTGATTCAATCAAGTGGAAGAAAGGGTATCAGTGATTGAAGATCAAATTAATGAAATGAAGCGAGAAGAGAAGTTTTGAGAAACAAGAGTAAAAAAAAATGAATAAAGCCTCCAAGGAATATGGGACTATGTGAAAAGACCAAATCTACGTTTCACTGGTGTACCTGAAAGTGACAGGGAGAATGGAACCAAGTTGGAAAACACTCTTCAGGATATTACCCAGAAGAATTTCCCCGACCTAGCAAGGCAAACCGACATTGAGTTCAGGAAATACAGAGAACACCACAAAGATACTCCCCAAGAAGAGCAACTCCAAGATACATAATTGTGAGATTCACCAAAGTTGAAATGAAGGAAAAAATGTTAAGGGCAGCAAGAGAGAAACATCGGGTTACCCACAAAGGGAAGCCCATCAGGCTAACAGCGGATCTCTTGGCAGAAACTCTATAAACCAGAAGAGAGTGGGGGCCAATATTCAACATTCTTAAAGAAAAGAATTTTCATCCCAGAATTTCATATCCAGCCAAACGAAGCTTCATAAGTGAAGGAGATATAAAATCCTTTACAGACAAGCAAATGCTGAGAGATTTTTTGTCACCACCAGGCCAGCCTTACAAGAGTTCCTGAAGGAAGCACTAAATATGAAAAGGAACAACTGGTACCAGCCACTGCACAAACATGCCAAATTGTAAAGACCATCACTGCTAGGAAGAAACTGCATCAACTAATGAACAAAATAACCAGCTAACGTCATAATGACAGGATCAAATTCACACATAACAATGTTAACCTTAAATGTAAATGGGCTAAATGCTCCGATTAAAAGACACAGACTGGCAAATTAGATAAAGAGTCAAGACCCATCAGTGTGCTGAATTCAGGAGACCCATCTCACATGCAGAGACACACATAGGCTCAAAATAAAGGAATGGAGGAAGATCTACCAAGCAAATGGAAAACAAAAAAAAAAGCAGGGGTTGCAATCCTAGTCTCTGATAAAACAGACTTTCAACCAACAAAGATCAAAAGTGACAAGGCCATTACCTAATGGTAAAGGGATCAATTCAGCAAGAAGAGCTAACTATCCTAAATATACATACACCCAGTACAGGAGGACCCAGATTCATAAAACAAGTCCTTAGAGACCTACAAATAGACTTAGACTCCCACACAATAATAATGGGAGACTTTAACACCCCACTGTCAACATTAGACAGATCCATGAGACACAAAGTTAACAAGGATATCCAGAACTTGAATTCAGCTCTGCACCAAGCAGACCTAATAGACATCTACGGAACCCTCCACCCCAAATCAACAGAATATACATTCTTCTCAGCACCACATCACACTTATTCCAAAATTGACCACATAGTTGGAAGTAAAGCTCTCCTCAGCAAATTTAAAAGAACAGAAATTATAACAAACTGTCTCTCAGACCACAGTGCAATCAAACTAGAACTCAGAATTAAGAAATTCACTCAAAACTGCCCAACTACATGGAAACTGAACAACCTGCTCCTGAATGACTACTGAGTACATAACGAAATGAAGGCAGAAAAAAAGATGTCCTTTGAAACCAACGAGAACAAAGACAAAACATACCAGAATCTCTGGGACACATTCAAAGCAACGTGTAGAGGGAAATTTATAGCACTAAATGCCCACAAGAGAAAGCAGGAAAGATCTAAAATTAACACCCTAACATCACAATTAAAAGAACTAGAGAAGCAAGAGTAAACACATTCAAAAGCTAGCAGAAGGCAAGAAATATCTAAGATCAGAGCAGAACTGAAGGAGACAGAGACACAAAAAATACCCTTTAAAAAATCAATGAATCCAGGAGCTGGTTTTTTGAAAAGATCAACAAAATTGACAGACCGCTAGCAAAACTAATAAAGAAGAAAAGAAAGAAGAATCAAATAGACACAATAAAAAAATGATACAGGGGATATCACCACCAATCCTACAGAAATACAAACTGCCATCAGAGAATACTATAAAAATCTCTATGCAAATAAACCAGAAAATCTAGAAGAGATGGATAAATTCCTGGACACATATGCCCTCCCAAGACTAAATCAGGAAGAAGTTGAATCCCTGAACATACCAATCACAGGCTCTGAAACTGAGGCAATAATTAATAGCCTTCCAACCAAGAAAAGTTCAGGACTAGACGGATTCACAGCTGAATTCTACCAGAGTTACAAAGAGGAGCTGGTACTATTCCTTCTGAAACTATTCCAGTCAATAGAAAAAGAGGAAATCCTCTCTAACTCATTTTATGAGGCCAGCATCATCCTGAAACCGAAGCCTGGCAGAGACACAACAAAAAAAGAGAATTTTATAACAATATCCCTGATGAACATCGATGCAGAAATCCTCAATAAAATACTGGCAAACAGGATCCAGCAGCACATCAAAAAGCTTATCCAGCACAATCAAGTTGGCTTCATCCCTGGGATGCAAGGCTGGTTCAACATATGAAAATCAATAAACGTAATCCATCATATAAACAGGACCAAAGACAAAAACCACATGATTATCTCAATAGATGCAGAAAAGGCCTTTGACAAAATTCAACAACCCTTCATGCTAAAAAGTCTCAATAAACTAGGTATTGATGGGACATATCTCAAAATAATAAGAGCTATTTATGACAAACCCACAGCCAATATCATACTGAATGGGCAAAAGCTGGAAGCATTCCCTTTGAAAACTGGCACAAGACAGGGATGCCCTCCCTCACCACTCCTAAACAATACAGTGTTGGAAGTTCTGGCCAGGGCAATCAGGCAGGAGAAAGAAATAAAGGGTATTCAATTAGGAAAAGAGGAAGTCAAATTGTCCCTGTTTGCAGGTGACATGATTGTATATTTGGAAAACCCCGTCGTCTCAGCCCAAAATCTCCTTAAGCTGATAAACAACTTCAGCAAAGTCTCAGGATACAAAATCAATGTGAAAAAATCACAAGCATTCCTATACACCAATAACAGACAAACAGAGAGCCAAATCATGAGTGAACTCCCATTCACAATTGCTTCAAACAGAATAAAATACCTAGGAATCCAACTTACAAGGGATGTGAAGGACCTCTTCAAGGAGAACTACAAACCACTGCTCAACGAAATAAAAGAGGACATAAACAAATGGAAGAACATACCATGCTCATGGGTAGGAAGAATCAATATCGTGAAAATGGCCAACTGCTCAGGGTAATTTATAGATTCAATGCCAACCCCATCAAGCTACCAATGACTTTCTTCACAGGATTGGAAAAAACTACTTTAAAGTTCATATGGAACCAAAAAAGGGCCTGCATTGCCAAGACAATCCTAAGCCAAAAGAACAAAGCTGGAGGCATCACGCTACCTGACTTCAAACTATACTACAAGGCTACAGTAACCAAAACAGCATGGTACTGGTACCAAAACAGAGATATAGACCAACGGAACAGAACAGAGCCCTCAGAAATAATATCACACATCTACAACCATCTGATCTTTGACAAACATGACAAAAACAAGAAATGGGGAAAGGATTCCCTATTTAATAAATGGTGCTGGGAAAACTGGCTAGCCACATGTAGAAAGCTGAAACTGGATCCCTTCCTTACACCTTATACAAAAATTAATTCAAGATGGATTAAAGACTTACATGTTAGACCTAAAACCATAAAAACCCTAGAAGAAAATCTAGGCAATACCATTCAGGACATAGGCATCGGCAAGGACTTCATTCCTAAAACACCAAAAGCAATGGCAACAAAAGACAAAATTGACAAATGGGATCTAATTAAACTAAAGAGTTTCTGCACAGCAAAAGAAACTACCATCAGAGTGAACAGACAACCTACAGAATGGGAGAAAATTTTTACCATCTACCCATCTGACAAAGGGCTAATATCCAGAATCTACAAAGAACCTAAACAAATTTACAGGAAAAAATCAAACAACCCCATCAAAAAGTGGGCAAAGGATATGAACAGACACTTCTCAAAAGAAGACATTTATGCAGCCAACAGACACATGAAAAAATGCTCATCATCACTGGCCATCAGAGAAATACAAATCAAAACCACAATGAGATACCATCTCACACCAGTTAGAATAGCAATCATTAAAAAGTCAGGAAACCACAGGTGCTGGAGAGGATGTGGAGAAATAGGAACACTTTTACACTGTTGGTGGGACTGTAAACTGGTTCAACCATTGTGGAAGACAGTGTGGCGATGCCTCAGGGATCTAGAACTAGAAATACCATTTGACCCAGCCATCCCATTACTGGGTATATACCCAAAGGATTATAAATCATGCTGCTATAAAGACACATGCACACATATGTTACTGGGGCACTATTCACAATAGCAAAGACTTGGAACCAACCCAAATGTCCATCAATGATAGCCTGGATTAAGAAAATGTGGCACATATACACCATGGAATACTATTCAGCCATAAAAAAGGATGAGTTCGTATCCTTAGGGACATGGATGAAGCTGGAAACCATCATTCTGAGCAAAATATCGCACGGACAAAAAACCAAACACTGCATGTTCTCACTCATAGGTGGGAATTGAACAATGAGAACACTTGGACACAGGAAGGGGAACATCACACACCAGGGCCTGTTGTGGGGTCGGGGGAGGGGGGAGGGATAGCATTAGGATATATACCTAATGTAAATGATGAGTTAATGGGTGCAGCACACCAACATTGTACATTTATACATATGTAACAAACCTGCACGTTGTGCACATCTACCTAGAACTTGAAGTATAATAAAAAAAAACTCTAGGAGAAAGTGGATGCATATATGATAGCACTAACGCCTAACATTCACTGAAAGCTCCCTACGAATCAATCGCTGATCTAAGTACTGTTTATATGTGATAAGCAATTTAAAACTTGTAACAACCTTATAAGTAAAGTACGTCACTAGCCACATTTTACAGATGGGTTATGAAAAGATGCTGAAATTGCAATGCTTGCACCAGCATCTCCCTCAGACTTTGGGTCTGAGCACAACCTTCCTGTGGAATCCTTGTACTATTATGGCGCAAGTATTTGTGTGTTGGAAAGGAGTCGTATTCCCGAAGCAGCTGAGGTCCTGTCAGAGTCTGAGGCCAGAAGCTCCCAAATGAAGAGGCACGAGGAGGGGAGTCAGCACCAGTCACAGTGCTATGAAGAGGCATCCTTGGAGCTAGCTGAATGGCATCACCAAAAGGAAGGGGTGCGGAACACTGGTGTCATCTACTGCTCAAGGGCAGATGTTTGGACCCATTTTAAGAAGTTTCTAATAAATTTGGTAAGACTTTGGAGGGGGAAATAAAAAAGTCACATGATAGCAGCCAGGATGGGAAAAGATAAAAGCAGCTGTTGCATACACTTCAGTCAATCTTGTTACACCATCCCAGAGAACATGCACCCACCATGTGTGATCTCTTTTGTACCATTTCAAGAGAACCAAGGAAATCACTGACATATCCACTCTTCAATTCAGTGTTAAAGGCCAGTAAACACAAAAATACATCTTTGATCATAAGGTTAGAGTGGATAAAAATTTAGGTCTCTAAATTAACATCAAAAATAAGAGAAGTGATACCATGCAAAGCCCTTTCTCAAGGTAAAGAAATCATCTTTCAAACAAACAGGTATTGTTTGCCAAACCTCAGAGCAAAGCCATTTTGTAAGCAAAAACGAAGATTAAATAAAGCAATTCCTATGGAGAGTATTTATCAGGATTTGACTAATCTGGATAAATCAGTAGCTTTATTAACCAGATAGAAATGACTTATTAGATATCTATTGTTTTAGAAACCTGTCCTACTTGTTTTCATGAAAAATGAGAAAAGAATAGGGTTTTGAGGACGCAATTTTAAGAAATGAATGGAGACACATGGCCCTTTAGAAATTCACAGTCTAGCTGGAGAGAGAATAAAGTGCTCCGGCAAGAAGTCAGGTCTACTGCAGATTAATCCACTGCCTCTAACATCTCTGTTAATCTCCCTTCAATTCCAATCAGGAGACCAGACAAAAGAAGGTATATGTGAAGACATACAAACAAGCACAACTCCGCTCATGCTTGAACCCAGAAAAATTGCATGCAAGACTACCAGGGCTCAGCAGCTGTGCATCTCTGGGAACCACCTGTTCTTGCTCTCCCTCGGGAGTGTGGAGTGTAAGCAGAGCCCCTGCCTCATGGGGTTGGAGAACACAGAAAGGGAAGAAGAAGGCAGAAATAAATGTGATTAAAACAAGGGATTTGGCAGCTGCCTGTGTGGTATGATTGGAAGGATACCCTGTGTCTGCCAAAAATATCCTTCCAAGCAACTTTGTCATAGCACCTGAACTTTCCCCTGTATGCATGTTGGTTGGAAAAGCATTGGAAGCCAAACTGCTAAATCTTAGATATATAAACCCTTTGAAAGACTCAATTCAACCTCTCAGCTTTTAATAGAATGGCCATGCATCCTCATTTGCTTAGCATAGCTCAGAATTTTGCCTATGGCCCCAGCTTCTTTATTGATAGGGTCTCTCTCACTCTTAAAAGGATCCCAATTTGGAAGATACTTTGCATAGCCAACCTAGTGTCTAATTATCTAGAATAGAACGGATAATACAGGTGTAAGATGAGAACATGTTGGCAATGGCGAGGAAGATAAGCTGGACATCTGGCCAAAGTGGGGTTCCCTGAGAAGACTGAGACCCCACCAAAATGATATGGGGGAAAAAAATAAAGAGGCTGAAAACCAGCCATTTTAAGTGTTACAGTTTTTCTTTGGATGAGCCTGAATGGGGATCAAGAGAAATTTGAGGACTGGTAAATTCCTTGTTAGAACCAGTAGTTATCTTAAGTAATCTTTAGAGTTGTGTTGATGTATTCTGCGGTATACCTCGCTTTGGCTGTTTTCACCAATCCTTAAAATTCTGATGTTCTACTTACTATTTTGTTCTGGGGAACTCTAAAATCTTAAGTGAACTAAAATGAACTGTTCTTTGAGAATATTTTGAGATTTTACAAAAGTCCATCAGATGGTGGGAGACATGTCAGTCTAAGGTGTTACAAAACCAGAATTAAGATGTACAAAGATGTTCATTGCAGATGTGGTGGGTGGGGACAGCTGCCATCTGCTCATGTGTGGGAGAGTGGGCAGATGAAATATGACTGCACATCCTAGAACTCTATGAAGCACCTAGAAGTGACAGATTAGCTGTGTGCCTCTTGTTATAACTGGATCTTAAAAACAGGCTGCTGAGGGAAAAATTGAGAATCTAATTAATCTATTCAACATGAATTTGGTATTCAAATAAATTTAAGATTTATATGCACAGAACAATTCTACGTAACTGACTAGAATGATGCAAAACAATATGAATCGCCTTAAGCACCTTAGAATATTGAGCTGTGGTGGGTGGTTAGGAAGTGGGCTATGAAAATACAGATAATAAATATACGAGTAAAACATGAGCCTGAAATTTGATGGGCAGGGTGATAAAAAAAAATAAGAGATCACAATTTTATTGGAATCGATGCATTGTTAAATAATTTTGCAATCTTGAGCAGAAAAGTCATGTTAAATCAAAATTATTTTATGGCTATTTTATCTCTGTATCCCTTCAATCAGATGAAAGGGAACAATTACTATTGTAAGTATTGAACACAGCTAGAAAGTTTGGAACATTGTTTTCCAAGGTTTTTTCAGCTCAATCATTATAACAAAATTGAGCTTGAAACTCAGCCTATTAAATTACATCAGGAAATATTTGTTGGTACAATTTCCAATGATATTCTGTCCTACCTAGGTGAACTTTACAAACTTCAAATTCAGAACTGGAAAAAAAAAGATTCAGATTAAACACTGGGAGAAACTAATCTGCAGCTATTAAAAGAAAAAGAAAGACCAAGATTGAATCACGAAGAAATAAAAATTCTGAATAGACCCGTTACTAGAAAGGAGATTGAATCAGTAACTAACAATCTCCTAACAAAGAAAAGTCCAGGGCCAGATAGCTTCACTGGAGAATTCTACCCACCATTTAAAGAAGAATAAACACCCATTCTTCTCAAACTCTTTCAAAAAAATTGAAGAAGAGGAACACTCCCAAACTTATTCTATGAGGTCAGTGTTTATTTACCCTGATACCTAAGCCAGAAAAAGACACTGTAAGAGAAGAAAATGACAAATCAATACCTTGATGAATACTGACGTGACAATTCTCAACAAATACTAGCAAACCAAATTCAACAACCATTAGAAGTATTACACATGTGACCATCCTGCAATGCAAGAATGGTTTAATATATAAAAGCTGATAAATATAACATACTACATTAATGGAAGGAAGGACAATAATGCCTCTGTCACCTCAATTAAAGCAGAAAATTATTTGACAAAATTTAACACAGTTTCATGATTTTAAACAACTCTTAATGAATTAGGAACAGAAGAAAATTACCTCAATATAAAAAAAGACCATTTATGAAAAGCCCACAGCTAACACTTAATGTTGAGAAACTGAAAGCTTCTCCTTTCAGATCAGGAACAAGACAAAGATGCCCAGTCTCGCCACTTCTGTTCAACATAGTACTGGATATCCTAGCCAGAACAATAAGTCAAGGAAAAAAAAAAAAAACATTGGAATCAGAGACTGAAAAGTAAATTTAACTCTGTTTACAATGACATAATCTTATGAGTAGAATACTCTAAAGATTTCACACAAAAAACTCTATTAGAACTAAAACAACAATGCAGCAAATCAGTTGAATTTCAATACACTACCAATGAACATCCTGAAAAAACAACTAAGAAACTAATCTCATTTACAATAGCATCAAAAAATATAATAAAATGTTTAGGAATAAACTCAACCAAAGAGGCATGAGACAGGCACTGAAAACTACAAAGGACTGCTGAAAGAAATTAAAGAAGACACAAATAAGTGGAAAGATATCCCATCTTTATTGACTGGAAGACTTTATATTGTTAAAATGTTCATACTATTCAAAGTGATCTACAGATTCAATGGAATCCCTAACAAAATCCCTATGGCATTTTTTTCAAAATTGGAAAAAATTTTTCAAAATTATTTAAAAAATGCTAAAATTTATATTTACCTCAAAGAACCCCAAATAACCAAAACAATCTTGAGAGAGAGAAACAAAGCTGGAGGCCTCACACTTCCTGATTTCAAAACATATTACAAAGTTACAATATTCAAGTAGTATGGTAGGAACATACAGTCACGTAGACATATGAAAGAGAAGCTTACATATATCATTGAGTGATCTTTAACATGAATGCTAAAACATAAAGGAGTACAGTTCAGAAGGGCCAGTTAGCACAGGATAGCCATCCCTCACTTAGGGTCACAGTAATCCTTCCAACTGCATGTTCCTACAATATAATTGCCTAAATACAGATTTACTTTTGCACATCTCTTTCCAAAATAATGAGTGTTTATTTAAATTTATAAAAGTCATTCCTTTTAGGAAATAGTAACAAAAAGGAAAGTAGCCGTTGGGGAGGGAGAGGGCCCAGTGGTGGGGAGGGACTTTGCAGGGCCGCTTTGGGTGCAATGTTTCAGATTCCAGACATAGACCTGCATGGGGAAGATGAGAAAGGAAAGGTCAGCGGCTGGAGACAAAATCAGAAAAGGAGAGATAAACAATGCAAGATCCCCTTGGCATATTAAATAAAATAAATCCACTCCATCATTTCAGAGGAATTTTCAGGTAGAAGATTAGTAAATAAGAGATGATAAGGATACATTTCATTTTACATATCTAGTATTATAAGTTTCAGGTATGCAAAATACTAATGATAGCCTCTTTTTTCTCTTATATTATTAGGTAAAATAATCGTAAATATTTATGGGATACAGTGACATTTTGACACTAGTGATAGCCTTTTTATTTAACATGGTGCCATTATTTTAATAAATGTCAAACTATTTTAAAGTGTTTTTGTAGTTTTTCTCATAAGCAGGGAGCACCAAATATTATTACCCTATAACATATATAAGGTCCTCAACCTCGAATTTTCTACCGTGGGATTTTGGGATATAACACTTGTAGTTGGAAAAGGAATGTTTTTCCATGATTCCTGTTCATAATGACAACAGGCATATCAGAATATCACATTCACACATGCACACCCCCCCACACACACCACACAAACCAAACACACACATACACATATCCCAAAACACAACACACATAGGCACACACACATACACACACACCCCACACCAGGCAGACCAAACACACATATACACACAACACACAACACACACAGGCACACACACATGCACACTCCCCCCCACCAGACAGACCAAGCACACACACACATCCCAAAACACAACACACAGATGCACACATACTCCCACACAAGAAAAACCAAACACACACACACACACCCCAACACACACATGTACACACTCCACATCAAGCACACAAAACACACACACCCCAACACACTACACACATGCACACCCACACCAGACAAACCAAACACACACACCCACCCCAACACACACACATGCATACACTCCACATCAGGCACACGAAAATCACATACACACCCCAACAGACAATACACACATGCACACACTCCATATCAGACACATCAAACACACACACACTGAAACACAACACACACGATTATATTCAATGTATTTTGCGGGGAGAAGAAATTGTATACTAGATACAAGAAATATTTTTATAAAATTTGGTAACACTTTCAGGATCATGAATAGATAATTGCAGATTATATAAAATATTCCCCCTCCAGAATGACACATTCTACAGTCTTCCTGTCACAGGTTCACAGATGCTGGGTGCCCGGTTTTATAACTACCAGCTTTATTGCATAAAAAATAGCATCCCATTCATCTTAGACATTGTACTAGGTACTTTTAAAAATGTTCCCTATTTAATCTTCACAGGAAATATTATAAGACAGGGACTGTGAATCCCAGATTTACAGATGTTAAACCGAAACTTAGATAAGTGAAAAGTTGAGCTTCCCTTGCTGAAGGTTCCAGAAGTCCCCTATAGATATCCTCAGGGCAGCGCTCTGGCCAAGGGCAAGGCTAAGGATGTACACAGCAAACAGTCATGCTTACACAGAAAACAGGCTGTTCCGGAGATCCTGGGTTCATTTGGGACAGCTAGAGGGAGGACTGGAGCTGAGTAGAAAGGTGAAGGTAAAGGTGAAGTCCCTCCCAAGGACCCCTTGACCCTGACACTTCCTGAAATTTTCTCAGCTTCGTTGGGATTAAAATCTAAATCTGCCTGTATGCAAAGTCAATACATTTTGTAGAGAAGAAATCTGCCATCAGAATTGAGAAAAACAAGACTCATTTTGCATTTTTGTGTCAAAGCTCATCTGCAAGTTTTATAATCACTCTTTCTGAAAATTAGAACAATAAAAGGCACTTACGGGTAACATTAATTTTCTAAATTCCATCATTTGAGGACAGTGGGAAGCTGAGACACTAGAGCAGGTGTTCAGAAGTTTGCAGTAAATGGTATCATTCCTTCAGCGTTTCTACTACAACAGTCAAGAATCAGTGTACGGTCTCCTGTTTCTGGAGCTGTACATCTTCAGATTTCCATTCCATTTATTCACCAAATTTAGACTTTCGTAGTCAAGGTCACTGCCTTGATTAATGACTCAAAAGTTAAAATGAAAGTTACAGGCAAGAGAAAGAGGAAGCGGCGGTTTGCACTGGGAGGTGGGCAGCGCGGGCGGTACAGCAGCACTTCACTAAGGATAATACACTCGCCTGATGAAGATCAATGATGCAGATCTCCCAGCCATTAGTATTCGCTGGCAGTTCATCTCAAATGGAGAGATTGATAGCACCAGCTATTTCTTTGAGAAAAGTTACACAGTTTGACATATTTCCTGTCTCTCTTTTCCCCCGGAGGCTCTCGAACACCACAATTAGGGAAAATTACTGTGTTAAAGCCAAGCAGTACAAAAATCCGGTTTTCTTTGTCCTGTTGGCAACTCTCTGCTTTCTCGTCATTTATTTTTACTTGTATTCTGTGAATAAAAGGGCTAATTTTCTAACAAAACTCCCCTGACAGTTCATTTAATGGCAAATGCTTTACGGATGCAGCCTCAGCAGAGTGATAGTGGTTAAACTGCTGTGTTTACTATGTTTGAAAGACTCCCAATAATACCTGCTCTCAAAAATGGGTATGAGTCAACCAAGATATAACCAAATGTTAGGCATAGCCTTTCAGATCAGAAAGTTTTCCTGACGTTTTTGATAAACGCTGAAATTTTTTTCTCCATGTTATTTCTTGCATGTTTGCATGTTATGATTGCCACACGGATCCTAAATTAAGTCAAACCAATTTAATTCACTTTAGCAGATGTGATTTCTGTGCTGATCAGTTGCACATACAATACAGCTTTGTCAAAATGTAAAGCAAAGAAAATCTAGGGTTTGTGGATGTTAAAGGGGAGAGTGAAGATCAAAAAAGAAAGTGCAAAGAGTGCCCAAGGACAGTGGGAGGGCAGAGCAAGGCGGCAGTGCAACGGGAAGCAGTGCTGGTGACATCATCTGTGGGGGCCAGTACAAAATAAATACGCAAGGCCCCTTGTTCAAAACGTATTAAGAATTTCAAGATGGTCACAGTAGAGCGTAAAGCCAAGAATAGAGTTGCATAAAACTGCACAGGTAGGCCAGGCGCAGTGGCTCACACCCGTAATCCTAGCACTTTGGGAGGCCGAGGCAGGTGACTCACTTGGGGCCAGGAGTTTCAGACCAGCCTGGCCAACATGGCAAAACCCCATCTCTACTAAAAATACCAAAATAAAATTAGCTGGATTAGCTGGGAGTGGTGGCGTGTGCCTGCAGTCCCAGCTATTCGGGAGACTGAGACATGAGAACCACTGGAACCCAGGAGGTGGAGGCTGCAGTGAGCCAAGATCACACCACTGCACTCCAGCCTGAGTGACAGAGTGAGACACTATCTCAAAAACAAGAATAAAATCAAAACAAAACAAAAAAACTGCAGAGGCAGTATGCTTAGGAAGCAGCTCTGTAGGGAAGGGATGAGAAAGGAGAGCACATATCACCTTGTACCCAGAAAGGTCTGTGTGTCAAAGGACACTATCAGCAGAGTAAAAGGCAACCTACAGAACAGGAGGAAATGTTGGCAAATCATATATCTGAAAAGATGTTGGTGTCAAAAATATATAAAGAATTCCTACAACTCAACAATAAAAGATACATATAACAACTAAAAAGTGAGCAAAGGCTATGAGAAGATTCTCAGCAACAATAATCATTAGACAAATGTAAATCAAAGCCACAATGAGATATCACCTCACACCGTTAGGATGGTCACTATCAACAGAGAATTCAGAAAATAGCAAGTGTTGGTGGGAATGTGGAGAAACTGCAACTCCTGTGCACTATTAGTGGGAATGTAAAATGGTGCAGCCACTATTGAAAACAGTATGGAGGTTCCTCAAAAAATTAGAGACAGAATTACCATATGATCCAGCAATCCCACGTGTGTGTGTGTGTGTGTGTGTGTGTGTGTGTGTGTGTACACATGGGAATTGAAAACAGGATCTCGAAGAGATGTTTGCATGCCCTTGTTGATAGCAGCATTATTAATAATAACCAAGAGGTAGAAGCAAAGCAAATGTCCATCAGCAGATGAAAGGATAAACAGAATGTGGTGTGTGTATATAAAATGGAATATTATTCAGTCTTAGAAAGGAAAGTCTGACACATGCTACAACACGTATAAGACTCGAGGACGCTATGCCAGTCACAAAAAGACAATTGCTGTATGATCCCACTTATATGAGGTACCTGGGGTGGTTGAATTCAGAGACAGAAAGTAGCATGGTAGTTGCCAGGGGCTGCAGGGAAGAGGGAGAAGAGAGATGAAAAGCTGTGGCTTAATGGGTGTAGAGTTTCAGTTTTATAAACAAATAGTTCTAAAGACTGCAAAACAATGAGAATGCCCTTAACACCATAGAACTGTACACTCAAAAATGGTTAAGATCATAAATTTTGTTATGTGAATTTAACCACAATTTAAAAATAACAGAAATATTTAAAACAATAAATGACACCGCAGACTAGTTCTCAAAGGTTACATCCCCTCTTAAACTGGCACTGCACCACTTACCTCCTTAACAGACCTACCGTGTTTTGGCTCATGGGCTAAAGCGTATGTTTTCTAAGAAATCCATGTTGCTTCCCTTGCTGAGAAAAAAAACATACCCAGTACCCCTTTGGTTCGAGGCTTCTGCTGGGTTTCAGTCCACTTCATATGTACCTCATTTCCTGGAATCCCAGAGAACTCCGAAACTCAGAAGTTGATCCTTTCTCTCATGACTTTCCAAGTTTGCATTCACCTCTTTTAGCCTAAAGTGGTAGGAAAACGGGGATAGAGATGCTTCATTCTCCTGAGAGACCTCTAAGAAATCACTGAATCTGCCAGGAAAAGGTGTGTATATTCTACCAGTTTATATTATAAATATACATACTATTCACCCTGCATCACTGTTGTCTTCTGTCTGCATATTTAGCTCTATGCAGCTTCCAGAGCAATCTTTGCAGTGGGAAAGAATATATTCAAATTCCAAGTTCTGGGAGTTTAGAATGCATAGCATCAGTTTTGCTGTCATGTATGTAATATCCATTCTTCTGGGGTTGATCCCAGGGCTCCCTTGCCCTTCCCCTACAACTGGGGTGTCCTCTCATGCCCATGGTGCTATCCCAGTTTGTTTGGGTTTTGTTTGTTTGTTTGTTTGTTTTTGAGACAGAGTTTCGCTCTTGTCGCCCAGGCTGGAGTGCAATGGCAAGATCTCAGCTCACTGCAACCTCCGCCTCCTGGGTTCAAGTGATTTTCCTGCCTCAGCCTCCCGAGTAGCTGGGATTACAGGCACGTGCCACCACGCCCAGCAAATTTTTGTATTTTTACTAGAGATGGGGTTTCACCATGTTGGCCAGGCTGGTCTCAAACTCCTGGCCTCAGAAGATCCACCTGCCTCAGCCTCCCAAAGTACTGGGATTATAGGCATGAGCCACCACACCTGGCCTTATTCCAGTTTTCATACTCAGTTTAGCCTTTAGTTTCCAAGAAATGCTCCCAGAGCATCCAAGCCTTCCCATGATCCCTGGCCCATTTGTCTGAGAGAGATTGTGCAAAGGGATCCATTGAAGCATAGCAAGCAAGTATAACCTCTATTTGCAGTTATATTTAAAATTTTATCCTTTTAAAGTAATTGTTCAGTTTTTGTGCTTGTTTTATGAGGTACGTGTATGATGTTTTGTTTTAAGAAGTACAATAGAACATTTATATAATTTATATAAAATAAATGTGTGTATATTGAGGAAGAAGGTGCTTTTTAAAAAATAGGGGTGCAGGTAAAATATATTGGAACAATGAAGGCACAGTCTCCTTGACAAGTCTTTGGCACTCAGCCTTGTTCTCTGATGATCCAAGGGTTGGCTGAAGTCCTGCTTTAAACTGAATGGCCCACTGAGAAGCGTGACTATTAAATGTCAAGAGGTTCTGCTACTCTGCTCCAATCCTCAGCTAAGACTTGATTTGGTGTTAAAATCAATCCAGTGGGATCCAAGACTTCTACATCCCTTTGCATCCCTACATCCCATTCCTCACTCTCAGCCTCCAGTAGAAAAGCAGTTTGATGGAGGTTAAATCTCTTAGTTAGCCCTTCTCTGCTAATCCAGACTGCAGAACCCCCACATTATCTGAAAAACCCTTATCAATCGTGACGGTTTTATGCCTTACAGGCTGCTGGATGTGTGTGTGTGTGTGTGTGTGTGTGTGTGTGTGTGTGTGTGTATAAAGGGAAAGGGAAGACTGTGAAATACAGCAAAAAGTAAGAAAATGGACTTGGGGTGGAGGTTAGGTGTAGCCACACTTTACCTACATTTTGCTGCTTTACAATTTGCTGAAAGGCCCCCTTATACCTCCCCGTTAGCACCCTGTATTTATGCTTCTAAAACACATCTCGTATCCTCCCTTCCACTTTGGCGCCACACCTGACCAACCATGATGGGGCTATGGAAGGAATGAGGTGCCAGAAGTTACACCACTGAACTTATATGACAGTAGCCGTGGTCTCATTTCAGTCTCTGAAAAATAAAAGAAAATTCATCCCATCATCTCCCATTTCATATTAACCCCAAATCTTGAAACTGGTTCAGAAGTACATTTTACTCACTTCTATGTCTATATGAGGAATGTTCTAGAAATGAATATTAAATGGTATTGCCAACAAATATCATATTTCTATTATCTGATGCAATAAATCCTGCCAGATTATATAATACCCTGCTGTTCATTTTCAAGATAATAAGATGATAAGAAGATATAAGAGCTATAAGTGGTAACAAGTTAATCACTCCTGAATCTGCACCAAGATGTGAGCAATTTTTACTTAAATTTTGGCAAAGTCTTTGAAATATTTTTCCTTCATATCTAATTTTCAGGTTTAATTAGTGTTGGAGCTAGACTCAAGTAAATGGAAGACTTTCCTAGCATCAAAGATAGTTAATTCTGAAGAATAGACTGAAAGGGAAATGGCGTGGTGGTGTCCTTGGCCTGAATATGCAGTCCTGGCACCTCAAAGTTTTAATCTCCCCAAGGGACCTGGCCTTAGGGAGTAGAGCAGATACCTCTCTATGTCATGGATTTCCTGTCAGTCCCAGTTTTATCCACTCTACACCTTAGGGGATCCTTTTCAACATGACATCAGTTGTTGACTACTCTTAGAAAAATGACTGTGATAAATAAAAAATGATAAATCATTTGAAAGAACCATTTTTAGACTAGTATTTAAACCATGTTAGCAGGAGGGAAAGTTGAAAAATCATGAAATTTCACCTCACCTTCCATGACAGGACTTGAAAGGCTAATTCAGAGCCAGACAGAACGTAACTGCTATGGACACTAAGAAGTTGAGTCAGACTGCACCGTCTGCCTGGGGCCCGGCATTATGCTCAGCAAGGTTATAGCTGTTACCCCAAACAACAGCTCTGCCATTCTTAAGAGTAAGGTATTATTAGTCCTGTTCTTACATGAGAGGCTAAGGCACAAACATGGAAGTAACTTCCCATCGTGTTAGTGAAGTGTGACAATTTAAGTCGATCACCTCAAAACCCAAACACTTTCCTACTGGGTGGACTCCAGTTGTAGGGCAAAACTAAAGCTGGGAAGAACCCACAGAAAATCAGAGGTTGGCACACTGAGACAGCAAAGGGCTTCCCTGAGCCACAGAATATGGGGGGAGAGTTGATCTCCTTTTGTAGCAAGAAGTAAAGGAAGAGGCCGGGCGTGGTGGCTCATGCCTGTAATCTCAACACTTTGGGAGGCCAAGGAAAGTGAATCACTTGAGGTCAGGAGTTTGAGACCAGCCTAGCCAACATGGTGAAACCCGTCTCTACCAAAAATATATTTTTTAAAAAATTAGCTGGGTATGGGGGCACACGCCTGTAATCCCAGCTACTTGGGAAGCTAAGGCAGGAGAATCACTTGAACCTGGGAGGCGGAGGTTGCAGTCAGCCGAGATCCTGCCAATGCACTCCAGCCTGGGAGACAGAGCGAGACTCTGTCTCAAAAATAAATAAATAAATAACTATTTAAATAAAATTTAAAAAGGAAATAAAGGAAGAGGTTAAAATAAGTCCAAAATGCATCCTGATGTTATTGGCCCTGGGTTAAGGTACCAGTGAAGAGAAACTAAATCATGGGACTCATCAGGGGCAAAAGAAGGCTTAGGTAGAATCAGTGATGGAAATCCACCCCAGCAATATTTAGAATTAATTGTTTTCTCTTCTTACCTAATAAAAATAGAAGTAGGATATTCTTTAAAAGAGAAAGCTATTTCCAAGTGAAACTATTTGAAGTTGAAAAATAATGTTTTTATACTATCTGTGCTAAACTATGTCTATCTGAAATGTACACCTATGCTACTTGGGGAGCATGAAAATGCAAGGCAAAAATAGTGCTGACTTCCTTGCTGCTGAAACTCGCTAGTGTGTTCATGATTGCTATAGAAATACCTGCCGTAAACTGTTGGGGGACACTCAAATTAGGCCATTTCAAGATTCGTGCAGACCATAAATATTCAGTAATAAGTGTTCATGTTTAATGGCTCTGGGAGATCTTGCCAAGTGCCCTATGTTTTTGGCAAGTACCTGCCCTAGATTTAACATCTACTTATGAGCATGACTATTTCTATTTTATTTGTTTCGAGAAAACTAAGAGTTTTCTGCCTTCTGCGCCTTCAGACAGAACAGACTTTGCAAGTTTGTTCCTGAGGGCTGTGCTAAAAATACAAGGCTGCTTTCCAATTACATAAAACCAAATCACACACAGAGAAATGAAGACAACTCCCTCCCACCCCACAAATGCCTAGAGTGGCTACAGCCTACCTCACCAACCTTAGTTTCCATCATTCCACTCTTGGCATCTTCTGCTTCCAGGGGCTGAACTGCTCTGAGGGCTCTGCACTCACTGTCCTGCTCCTGGAACGCTGTCCCTGCACACCTCCTGCGGTGCACCATCTCTTCACCCTGCCTCGTGGATGCCACTCCTCACGTGGAGCGTTTCCTCTGTCTGAGCATTTCAGGTGGAAGTAATTTCTCTCCTCAGAATTTCCATTTTCCTCTCATCAATAATACTTGCTTATTATCCAAAATTTGGAAACAATAAAGAAAAACAAAGGAGAGAGTTGGAAAGAAAAGCAAAAAAAGATGGAGAGCAAGAGGAGTAGAAAGAGAACATAAGCAGAAGGAAATAAATAGAAAAGGTGACAAAAAAGAAAAACTCCTCTATAAAAATATATTATGTTAGATTTTCTCTTTTATATTCATTTGATTTATATTTGAGTGTAGTTGTAATTTGTGCTAAGTATACACTTTTCTATGCTGTCAACCCCTACTCAAGCCCTAACCCCCACACAAACATAACACGGACACATAAAACTGTCTCAAAAGATCACTTTTAGTAATATAATATTTTATGGCTACGTAATTTTCTACCACTGAGCAATGTCATGATTCACATACTCATTTCCTCTTCTGTGGTGTGCACAGATAATTTTCAATTTCTTTTTTTTTTTTGCAAATTACTTTGTCTGAAGTTCTCTTATGCAATATGAAATAAGGTAAAGAGCTTGGCATTTGGAATTTGATCTGAGTTCAGTTGGTGGATCTGCCACAGAGTGGTTACATGACTTTTGACAAACCACTTACCTCTCTCAGCCAGTGTTCTTTTTTATCTTAAAATGAAAATTGTGATTAATAGTTTCACTAGATGCATTTGATCGTATCTGTGAGCCCCAGCTTCCTAATCATACTCTTACAGCAGAGACCTATTTGATAGCCAACACATAACCATTGAGTAGCTACGATTGTGCCTGCCCAATCTAAGCAGGGTAAGAAAAAATGGTGTGGTGCTGCATATTATCAAAGCAAAACATTACTTATGTTTATGGTTTATATTCCCTTACAGGTTAGCATCCCTAGATCCCTGTATCTGTTTTCATTTTTTCTCTAACTTGGAGGGTGGAGGATTCGGTAAATAGTAATTGAATAAATTAAGAGAGTAAATCGTTTGCTAAATAACATAGAACCAACAGAAATAGTAAGCTGCAAGTAAAAACAAACATTTATGGAGTGACTAGTATACGCCGTAATCTGTGCTATGCAAAAGAAGAGTAATTGTTGCCCACCTGGCTACAATTCAGCACCTCCTTTAGTTGCCTCTGCATTGTGGCTTAATATGGAAAATTAATACTTCCAAACTGATCCCAACTCACAAGTTCTTGATAATGATAGTATTTGAATAGCATTTTTCTATTACATGTTCTTCTATTGAAAAAAACACTGTGGTGACGCTCCTGAGTCTCTGCCATTCAGTCTTCAAATTTTTAGAAGGTTTAAATGAAATCTGGGGCTTTTCTAACACGTCCTTAAGATGACTGTGCCTGTTACCTTCCCTTTGTAGTAAGCTCCCCACTTATATGTCTGTTTTTTCCTGATGACCTGGCAATCTGCAAACCCAATTTTTCTGCTCATTCCCCTTGTGAGCTCAGGAACCACTGTACCATTGCTACCCAACAGCGGGTGAGTGAGGCTTCAGAGAGGTAGCATCCTTTCGAATTCTGATATGTGGGACAGGTAGATTCTTACTGTCTGTGACTACTACGTGCCACCAAGAACTTCCCACTGGTGATGCCAAAAACGTGGAGCCACAGATGGAGCAGTCTATTTAAAATGGAGTGACTGGAATTGACAGTAGCAGCAGATTAAAATTCAAGGAGCTGCTAAAACACAGGACAGAAATCATATTTAGATAATTCATCATTAAAAATCAAATGATGGCTAATGCTTGCAAGAGGAGATGTGAAAACTGTACAGAACACCAAATGCAAATACACTCCAGGCAGACAACCCTCTCCTCCCGGCGAATACCTGATCAGCAAGGCAGGTCCCACAGAAGGGGGCGAGCTAGAGAGCTAGAGGGATAGTTATGATTATTCTTGGTGGCCAGAGAGATCCCAGGTCTACTCCTCTCCTGGGTAACACAGGTAGAATGTTGATTGCAGATAAAGGCTGATATAAAAACTATTCTAAGACATAAACTTCCGTCTGTGCAATCTTATTCTAATAGGAAAAGCAATAAAGAAATCTCACCGTATTAGTCTACTAAAGCTGCCATAGCAAAATATCACAGCCCAGGTGCCTTAAACAAGAGAAATGTATCTTCTTATGGGTCTGGAGGCTGAAAGTCCAAGATGAGGGTAAAGGTTGGTTTCTGGTGAAGGCTTTCTCTCTAGTTTATAGAACACCACCTTCTTGCTGTTTTCTCAACTGCCCTTTGCTCTGCAGGGAAAGAGAGAGAGAGAGAGCGAGAGAGCCCTCTTGTCTCTCTTTCTCTTCTTAGAAGGACACTAGTCTATTGAAACCTTACCCTGATGACCTCATTAAACTTTACTTAACTCCCTAAAGACCCTATCTCCAAATATAGTCATGTTGGAGGTTTGATCTTCAACATAAAAATTTGGAGATAGACACAATTCAATCTATAACACTCACAAATTCTATGTTGACCACTTGGAAAATTCATTTGAAACTAGTGAAATGACTCACTTTTTGTTCCGTAGTTATCCAGCTTCTGAAGGGACAACTGCCAATAGAGCTCTAAACTGGACTGTGAATTTCAATGCCTTCTTCAGCATCCTTGGTCCTAAAAACCCTGGAAATTAAAGGTGGGACTCTCTTGCATCTTCAAACTCCTAAAAAGTATGACCACATCTAGCTTTTTATTATTTATGCCTGCTAACACTCACCCATTTGATGTTTACACCTTAGGCTAAGCGCTAATACTATACACAATCAACAAATATTTATTTAACAATCTATTCCACCTGTGATTCTTCATGAGGTGTTTTTAAAATTTATGAGAGTGATTTTTGGCAGTTGGAACAATTGAGAGACCCTACGAGAATGCAGTGATTGCGATTGAGGTGGCTACACTTCATGCAAAATACAGAATAGTCTCATACAGCGAGCGAAGCATTATTTTGCATTCTGCTCAACTTTCAAACAACCCAAGGAAAATTGATACGAGTGAAAGAAAATCTATTTAAAATTATATGAGCTAGAACCTAACTCTGTTTGTTTGTTTGTTTGGTTTGTTTTTGAAACGGAGTCTCGCTCTCTCACCCAGGCTGGAGTGCAGTGGCACGATCTCGGCTCACCGCAAGCTCCGCCTCCCAGGTTCAGGCCATTCTCCTGCCTCAGCCTCCCAAGTAGCTGGGACTACAGGTGCCCGCCACCACGCCCATCTAATTTTTTGTATTTTCATTAGAGACAGGGTTTCACCATGTTAGCCAGGACCTAATTCTGTTTTTATATAAAAATCATAAAAATGTTGCATGTTTTTATTATACACTGAATTTTCCAGGAATGCAATGCTGTATAAGTTAAAGAAAATTTGTATTTTGCTTTATTCAGAACTTTCCAAAGTTCTGTTCAGTATTTTGGAAAATCATATCTCCTGGACAGGATCACTTGTGGTATTTGGGTAGTCTGTATTTGCTACTTTCTCAGTCACTTCATTACATATATGTAAGACTCACTACCTATGTCTTCTACCATAATTGTGTCTAAGCACTTACTTATTGAAATATATATCATGCCATAAGTTATTGTCATTCTATTTCTCCAATAAAATACAATGAGGGGATTTTATTGATTTTGAAATCAAGGGTATAGATTCATTATGTTATCTATGATTTTCATTTCGGCACAGTAATGGGACCATTTAAAAATACAGGCATCTCCCATTTTGTCATTAATTCGTTTCTTAAAATCAGACATTCTTTACAAAAATGCAAACTAGAAATATTTCGTCCTTATCTTGAATGTAAAAAAATGCAATGTGTTGTATATTAAGTCAAAATGCCTAACCAATTTCTTAGCACAATGAAAACACAGTAAAATATTTTACAGAAATAACAAACTATAATGTTAGGATAAAACTTCTTCTCACAAAATTACTTTTTGATCACAAAACAACTAGTATTTTTAAATATATACATATTGTTGCTCTTTGTACAGTTACATATACAGGTTGCATGCTGAACTGTAAATACTATGTTACAGCAAGGCAAATAATAGACAATAAATGAATTAGAAAAATCCAAACAAAGCCTCCAAAAAATTGATGTTATGTAACAAACTATGAATACTCTTAAATAAATAAAGTGGAAGCTTGAAATATGAAGAAAGCTGAGAATTGAAGCAATCATTTTTTCACTGGTAAAAAAAGGTAATAGAATAGAAAAGCTGGGTAGTGAAAAGGCAATGTCAAGCATAGTAACAGAATCAACATTGTATTAGTAGTTCCATCTCATGCAATAACACAAAATTAATAATAAATAAGATTCTATAGATAAACTTATAGCATCAATAAGTAAATATAGCAAATTCCCTATGCCTAAGGTGAACCATCAAAAATCTAATGTATTTCTATATGCAAACAAAAGGCAATTAAAAAATACAATTTAAAAATAATACCACTTACAATACAATAAAGAAATATCAAATATCTGGAACTAAATACTACTTTACAGAAAACTAAATAGTACATTTTGCATAATCTAAAGATCCTATATCAACAAAAAACATACAATGTTCATGAATATGGAAGACCCAGTGTGCCAGATACATTATTTCTTCAAGTGATGTCAATTTCCCTTATCAAGAATTTGTGTTAGAAAATTGACAAGCTAATTCTACATTTCATATGGTGGACTTAGATTAACAGGTAGACTTATTAAAGCCACAGCAATCAAGAAAGTGTGAAATTAGTGCAAAGACAGATAAATCGACAGATTGAACAAAATAAAAAATGCAGAAAAAGACAAACATACAAGTAGTTACTTGGTTTATAACAAAGGTTCTAATGCAGTACAGTGAGGAAAGGATGATCTTTTAAATAAATAATACTGAATCAATTGGATAGGAATATGGAGAAAATAAATTTTTACCTCTACCTCACACTAGGTGAACTGTATACCTAATAAAAGGTAAAAACAATAAAATTTCCAGAAGGTAATGTAGAATGACATCTGTATGATATCTTCATGGCCTTAGTGTAGTCAAATATGTCTTAAATAAAATTTAAAAATAAGAATTAACACATAAAAAATTTAGACAGATTGGACTTTTATAAAAATTATGACCTTTTTGTCAAAAGATACCATTAAGAACATGAAAAATTAATTCAGAGAATGGGAGACAGTATTTGCTACACATATACAAGATAAAAAGCTTATACAGTAATATATAAAGAAATATTAAAAACTCAGGAAACAACCTATGCTGGACAGGATGCGGAGAAATAGGAACACTTTTACACTGTTGGTGGGAGTGTAAATTATTCAACCATTGTGGAAGACAGTGTGGTGATTCCTCAAGGATCTAGAGCTAGAAATACCATTTGACCCAGCAATCCCATTACTGTGTGTATACCTGAAGGATTATAACTCATTCTACTGTAAAGACACATGCACACATATGCTTATTGCGGCAGTGTTCCCAATAGCAAAGAGTTGGAACCAATGCAAATGCCCATCAATGATAGACTGGATAAAAAAAATGTGGCACATATACACCATGGAATACTATGCAGCCATTAAAAGGATGAGTCCATGTCCTTTGCAGGGACATGGATGAAGCTGGAAACCATCATTCTCAGCAAACTAACACAAGAACAGAAAACCAAACAGCACATATTGTCACTCATAAGTGGGAGTTGAACAATGAGAACACATGGACACAAGGAGGGGAACATCACACACCAGGGGCCTGTCAGTGGGTGGGGGGCTAGGGGAGGAATAGTATTAGGAGAAATACCTAATGTAGATGATGGGTTGATGGGGGCATCAATCCACCATGGCATGTGTATGCCTATGTAACAAACCTGCACTTTCTGTGCATGTATCCCAGAACTTAAAGTATAATAAAAAAAAAGAAATTCTCAAAATCAGTAATTAAAAGATAATCAATTTAATTTTTAAGTGGGTGAAGTACTTAGACACTTCTTTAAGGGAGATATCAAAGTGCCAATAAAAATTAAAATGTGCTTAACCTCATGAGTAATCATTGAAATGTTAATAAAAACCACAATGAGATACCACTTCACACCCATGCAATTAACTAATACTGAAAAAGATAAAAGCAACAACAAAATAAAAACACCGATGATATCAAACAGTGATGGCTAGAATACTTAGCCATTATTGGTAGAAGAAAAAATTGGTAAAACTGCTTTGGATGTTTTTTGGCAATACCTATTAAAATATATATGTGGCTGGGTCCAGCGACTCATGCCTGTAATCGAACACTTTGTGAAACTGAGGACAGAAGATTGCTTGAGCCCTTAAGTTTCAGACCAGTGTGAGCAACAAGGTAGGTGCTGTCTCTACAAAAAAAAAAAAAAAAAAAAAAATTAGCCAGGCACTGTAGTAGACACCTATGATCTCAGCTACTCGGGAGACTGAGGTAGGAGGATTGTTTGTGCCAGGGAGATAGAGGCTGCTGTGACCCATGATTGTGCCACACTACTCCAGCCTAGGCGACAGAGCAAGACTCTGTCTCAAAAACATTTATAAATAAGAGATAAGAATAAAAATATATGTACTTTATGAACCAGCAAGTCCAACCCTGGCAATATATTCAAAAATATTGCATATCTATGTTCACCAAAAGACATATACAAAAAAATTCACGGCTGAGTCACTCATAAAGTGATAAATAGGAAATGATACAAATGTCCACCAATAGTAGAATAAAAATATAGTGACACATTTATATAATGAATTACTATATCGAAGTGAAAAAGAACTACCACTACACTAAACACAAATAAATTATATAAATATAATGTCAGACAAAAGAAGCCTAATGGAAAAGACTGCACGATGTACTTTTCCATTTATAAAAACAAACCAATCTGACCTTTGCCTGAAAGAAGGTGGCTAGGTAGTAAATAGGTAGGAATAATAGTGACTTCTGGGGTACTTACAATAGTCTATTTTTTTATTTGAGTGGGTTTAAATTGGTGTTTACATTTTTAAAAATAAGTATCTTTGTGATTTATATATATATTACACTTCAATACAGTTTACTTAAAATCTATATACATATATGCATATATGTATATGGTGTGTATGTGTATGTTTTTGTGTATAGACACATACAAATATATACATGCACCCACATACATACACACACATAAATACATATATATGTATACACATGTGTATATGTATGTATGTATACATATGTGTATATGTATGTACGTATACATATACACATGTGTATGTACGTATACATATACGTATATGTATGTATACATATGTGTATATGTATGTACGTATATATATGTATACATACACATATCTGTGTATATGTATACTTGTATATACATAAATAGACATATATATATATATACTGATAGACAGAGAGAGAAAGAGTAGAGACCTGCAGGCTGGATTGAGACTAAACATTAGACAGCTTTAGTTTAAGCTACTGTGAAATATAATTGATTAATGGATTGATAAGGGCAGTATCTTATTACAGAATCTTTAATGCTTTAAGAAAATGGGCATTTGGCTCACTTTGGTCACTGACATACTACTACTGGGAATAGCTAACTAAGCGCATTCTAAAAAGACATTTTTCCTTTTGAGAAGGTCAAGTCTTCCTTCATTGTCTTGGTCTACTTCTTAAGGCCATCAGTACCCACCAATCTCTCCATGAGGTAGAGGGACACTTCTCCTACTGTGAATTCTTTGGCATTTTGCTGGGGAGATATATCTTGCAGTTCATGTGGGAATCTGATGATCCATTCTCCAAAAGATCCTTTCTCTTACAGGAATTTAATTTAAATGGAAATTTTTACAGAAATGCCTCTATTCACACATTCCCATAACATCATTTGTACAGGTAGTAATGTTACACATTACAAGGATAGGTAGATTGAAAGATCCATGTGAGTCTACATCTCCAGCATCTTGTATTGTATCAGCCTATTTGTATTGCTGGTTGAATGTATGAGGTATTCTACACTAGGTTTCTTAACTCAAGGTTCATAGAAATGGGAATCTAAAAGTTGGCTTTGGAGGGACTGTTAATTAATAGAAATTACATGTCAATTTTGTGTGTATGTGTGCATGCAAATTTCTGGTTAGAGATGTATAGCTTTTATGTGGTTATTAAAAGGATCCTCAACTTTAAAAGGTTAAAAATGTAATCTAGTAAATTCTGAATGCCACAATTATCAAGAGAGTGTGAAGTGGCAAAGTAGGTTTGGATAATTTGATTAATAGAATGGTAAAGTAGCTTTGGGACACTTACCTGCACCTTGAGTCACTTTGAAGTCAAATAGCAGCTGCTGTCACTGTATAAATTTTCAGGCAATTTGAATTTACTGTGAGCTTGACCCCTTGAGAGTGATTTACATATGTTGACTCTTCAGTCATCACTGCTAGGATGCCAGAGGTGGTGGTCTGGACTGCCTACTGGAGCCCCTGTTTGCCCTCTCTCTTTCTTCCACCTTGCACTTCTTCCCCAGGTCAGGACCGGGCTGGGAAGACCAGGAGATCCAATCTCTGCAGCAGCCAGGGAAATTTTAGCTCCAGATTAAGCATGAGTCCCATGGATGGGGGTTGGTAGAAAGGGTATTAAGGGTCAACTTTGTGCCTGGTACTGGGCTAGACACCAAGGATACAGAAAACATTGATTGAGCAGCTTTTATGGGCATGTACCCGTCCCATGGCAGCTATTGTGAGTGATACAGAGATAATCAGGATAAGAACATACTGCTCAAGGAACATAACTTTTTGTCAAGGAGCTCACACTCAGATGTGGATCTCCATGGCACATGAAAGCTGACATATCTTCTGGAAATACAGCCATTTCCCATGCACTGTGCTAGGTGCTTTACACGTACTCTAATTTAATCCCCACAATATCTCCTTGAGATAATAATTACCTCCATTCCACAAACAATAAAAAAGATGCTCAGAGTAATTATGAAATCTGACTGAGAGTGCCAATATATGTTGTAAAAGAAGATATCATCCACCAAGAACTTGACCCAACAGTCCACCAGTTCACATGTTATTGAATTTCACAGAGAAGTACAATCAAATACCTGTGAGATTAGAGTGAGACCCACATAGCTTAGGGAAATTCTGTAGGAGAATGTCTGATATTTACACTGCATTATTGACTATTACTATGTTGAAGACAGTGAGTACAGCAAGGAAACAAAGAAAGGATATCTCTCAGGTTCTCTTGAGCCTTCTTGGATGACATGTCAAGTGACTTGGGTTAGACTTTGCCCTTGGTAGTTTCACTAGAAGCAGGACACCATCACACAAATATCAAATCTAAAATTGGTAATGACAGTCACTACTAAGAAGAGATGACCACACTGATTCTTAGGAGCTGTGCTGATTATCACCAGCCACCTACATTGATAGGGAAGGCTCCCTGGACTCCCAGATTTCATTTGGCAGTACGAGAATTTAAAGAATGTAAATCCAACTTCTGTACTTTCAGACATCTTAATATTACTCACAGTGTGTATTTATAAAACTGTTTTCAGCTGCTAATGGTGCCATGATAATCAAAAGTGTTTTAACAAAGATGAAAGATTTAATTTTGAATGGGGCTGTAAGAAATAGATTAATAGGACATAAGGAGGTAAAGAACTAATGTTGTCAAGATGCGACCCCCTTAAAGCAAAACTTCTGAAACATGGCAAAATGGCAAAAAGGACCATTGTCTCAAGCAGTAAGAAGTTGTGTCTAATGAAAGATGGAGTGAGGAGTTAGCAAACAGGGATGAAAGATTAGATTCAGCCCACACTGAGAAACTAGCATTTAACCTGTAGTTCCCTAAAAAACACTAAATGAGAGTATGATTTCTCTAAAGTAGTCGGTCATGGAGACTTTTATTATTAAGTAAACATGTACCTTCCAAACATGAGCACCTCGCCTTACCTTTGTAGTACAGAAGCTGATTTATCTAATCCAGTGGTTCTGAATTTTTCTTTAGCATTTCTATTTTTGTAGTGTTCAAAGAGACTTTACTAAAGAAAATGTTTAAGGTAATAAAGAAAGACCCACTGTACATTGCAGTCTATACTAATCTAAATTTATATAGTATTAGCATGTATATATAAACAATTTTGTCATCTATATAAGTGATAGGCCTACATGGTCCAGTCTTAATAGAAATTGGTTCCCAAAAAATCCCAGTCTGAGCATTAAAATTTTAAAAAGGAAGTAGAATTTAAATCTTTAACTATCATCTCTTGAAAAAAAATTGTTAAATGAGTCTAATTTATTTTACTCTTCCATTAGTACTTCCCATAGCCTCGTTTCATCCAACTCTCTTATATTTCGTATGGATCTAGACTAGAGTATATTATTAGCCAAAATTACAGCTCCCAAAATGCATTTTTTGGCTCCTCCTCCCTCTCCTATTTCCAAGTTCCTTTCTGTGTAGATGGCCTTGGTCTCAGGGCTGTGTTCCCTTCTCTCTTTCCTCCAGACAATCTGTTCTGGTCCTGCCATTCTCTAGCTCTGCAGCAAAATCTCCAGGAGCAACACTGGCAATAGCAAGACTGTCCTGGAGAGGGTGTGACAGAGGATGGATGGGAAGCAGGAGAGGAAGCACAGGTCCGTGGGCAACAGTAAGGGAAACAGTGGAGGAGAGAGGAAGAGGACCCCCTCATAGCACATGTTAAAAGTGCTGTGCTAAGGACATTCATGAAGAAGCCAGAGTATCCAAATAAGGTCTGCATTTTGGTTAATAGTATTGTACTGGTGCTAATTGGCTAGCTTTGCTGAATGTGCCATAATTATGTAAGATGGTAACATTAACAGAAGCTAAGTGAATAATATATTGGAACTCTCTTACTACCTTCACAACTCATCTGTAAAAAAAAAATTAATAACAAGATATGGAAGAAAAAAATCACTGTGTACATAGTATTTTGGGTTCTATTTGTGTTCCTCTAAATCATTATAAATATACATTTTCATGTAGCAGAATAATACATATACCTGTTATTTACTGAAGTAGAATTTTCCAAGGTTTTTTTCTTTGAACTTTTGTTCTATAGAACTATCATTTGAACTATTTTGTCTCTATCCAAGTTACAGATATTTAAAATTGTAACAATCCATAAGCAGAACTAAATACAAAGCTCAAGGAGTGTCTCTGTAAAGACAATTAAAATACATTTATCATTTTCCTAATATATTTAGATGGAAAACAATTTAAATTTAATTCATGGAATGATCTCTAGGTTTTCAGAGTAGGATGTGAATCTCCATAAATTTGCCTCTAAAGAAAATTTCAAGTAGATAATTCTTAACTTTTTAATAATAGTATGCAGAATCACATCTTCTTATTTTCCTTCCTATAGCTTTTTCCTTTCTATTTCCCAGCTCATTACTCCCTTAGCTAGGCATGATGAACAATAAACAACCTCTTCATATGGCCAGCTAGAGGAACTAGAGCATAGTATGTTTTCAATGACTTCCCAAGGGTTTGATTAGATCTCTTTACAAAGGCAGTGTGAAAGAATTATAATCATCACATGGACTCAAAATGATTTGGCAACTGATCCATGTGATTCAGAGCAAAGAGCCTGTGCCTTCAGATTCAGTTTTTTGGCTCACAAGCCTTGTTATCTGTAGGAACGACCATCAGTGAGGAACCAGGAGATGCCGGTGTAGATCTGCCTTGTGTCACCCAGCTTCTTCTCGAGTGTTTGTTGTAACTCTAGAGAGAGAATTGCCCTTTTCCCTGGCTCCGTGTGTCCACTTGGAAGGACATTAGCCAGGTTAGCTTTCTTGGTCTTTCTGCATTCCTCATTCACTCCTCTCCATCAGAAGGAGTGTGACGTATTTTCATTAGTGATTTTGGAAAAAGGAGTAGGGTACGCGTGTGGCTGGGCCTTTTGTGAGCTTTGTTTTCTTAGCACCTGCCTGCAGATAAATTTCAATCTGGGGCTGTTTTCTCCCAGGCCACAAGGAGTTGTAACTTATTCCTCTCACTGGGTGACTTAATTTAGCTCTGGTGTAAAATATTAGAAAGACTATCATGATTACACACAAAGCCATGTATTCCAGTCTAGGCTCTATTAACAACAAAGCTGATATCTTGATTTTCAGTTTGTCTGATATCTATGTCAATTTTTTCAATTAATTCTGAACTCAAGAAATTAACAAAGGGGTGTCTGTATTGACCTTGCTTCAAAATCTCAATTGTAACTAATATTTGTTATTTACAAATATGTACGATTTCATGTATGTGTGTGTGTGTGTGTGTATATATATATATATATATATATAAAATTTTTGACAACCCCATGAGTTGATTATTTACTTTTTAAATAAACTTTTAGACTTAGAATAGTTTCAGATTTACAGAAAAATTGCAAGGCTAATACAGAGAGTTTCTATAAACCCCACACCTAGTGTCCTCACTAGCTAACATTTTACATTACTATGGTGCATTTGTCACAGATAATGAACCAATATTGAAACAATATTATTAACTAACATTAAGATTTTCCTAGTTTTCTCCAATTCCTTTTTCCATCCCAGGATCTCATCCAGGATCCCACATCACATTACATTTAGTCATCATGTCTCCTTAGCTAACCTTGGCTGTGACAGTTTCTCAGACATTCCTTGTTTCTGATGACCTTGACAGTTTTTAGGAAGAGTGGTCAGGTGTTTTGTAGACTGTCTTTCAATCTGGAAGCATATAATATTTTTCTCATCACCAGACTGGAGGTATGTGTCTTTGAGAGGAAGATCACAGAGGTAAATTTCCATCTTTGTCACATCATGTCAATGTGACTTACCACTAAGGATGCAAAGCTTGATCAAAAGGCAGAGTTTTTCACGTTTGTCCACTGTAAAGTTACTTCTCTGTTACCTCGATTACTGTACCCTTTAAAGAAAATCATTATTACATTATTTGAAATTCTGTATGGGAGATTTGTATATTTTCCCCCATTTATTTATTTAATCATTTATTAATAACAATACAGATTTATGAATATTTATTTTATACATTGGTTATATTGCAATACTGCTTTGTTTATTTTGTTGCTCAAGTTGTTCCAGGTTTGGCCATTGAGAATCCCTTCAATTGGCATCAGTGTCCCTTTGAAATATTTCTGACATTGTGTTTGTGCACGTGTGTGCCTGTGTGTGTGTGTGCACTTCTTTATTTTCTGGCACTGCAAAAGGCTTCAGGTTCATCTTGCATATTCCAGCTAAGTGTTAGAATCAGCCATTTTTCCAAAGAGTTCCAATTCCTTTCATCAGAGAATGATTATCAAAACCAAGATCTGGATGCTAGGTGCACTTGTTGCTACAGCAGTGGCATTGCTTCCAAACCTTCTTAGTACATGAAAATACATGTGGATATACTAAATCATGTGTGTATATATATATATATATGTCTATAATTATTGCAATATGTTTTTATTTATATGTATGTTAAGGTAAACATGAATTCATATTAATGCCTCCAACTATATAGTTCAGCAGCATATGGTTCATTCTGGCCCTACTTTCTGTTTATCTGTAACTTCCTTCTTCAATGGTGAGAAATCTGGCTTTCACTTTCTTTCCTCCATTTACTTACTTACTCAATTTCAGCATACTTGAGTAGTGGTTTCAGAATTGCGAGCCTATACCTCCATGGAAAACAACTTTATCACCTAGAGTGCAGCAGTCATGTACAAGTCCTTTAATTGTTAGTCTTACTGTCTCCATTCAATTCCAAAATTATGTAGGGCAGCCCCTTTTACTCTATCTTTTTCAGTGAGAATATAACATACATATATAATACAATTAGATTCTTTTATCACAGTCTGCATTCTAGTCTGGAATTTTAAAACCTTTTGCATGCATTAAGGTTTACTCTTTTTGCTGCAAAGTTCTATGAATTTTGACAAATGCATAGTGTTGTGTATCCACCACTTCAGTGTCATACAGAATAGTTTCTCTGCCCTAAAAATATCCTCTGTAGTTCATCTATTCAACCTCCCCACCTCCTCAAACCCCTGGTAACCACGTCTCTCTTCTCCAACTTTACCGTCCTGCCTTTAAAAAAAAAAGTTACATAAAGAGAATCATACACTACGTAAACTTTTCAAGATACAGCCTTTCATTTTGCAAAATTCATTTGTGACTCATCCACATCTTTACAAGCCTGACAGGTAACTCCTTTAAATTGCTGGATAGTATTCCAATGTGCAGATATACTATAGGATTTTTGCTCATTCACCTATTGAAAGAGTCTGTCTTAGTCTGTCTGTGCTGCTAGGACAAAACACCTAAGAATGGGTAATTTATAAAGAAAAGAAATTTCTCACAGTTCTAGAGGCTGGGAAGTCCAAGATCAAAGCACCAGCAGGTTCCGATGTGTGGTGAGGACTGCTCTCTTCTCCCAACATGTGTCCTCTGGAGGAAGGGAAGACTGCATCTTCACAATGCAGAAGGTAGGCGGGCAAGACAGCCAAATGCTACCTGGAGCCTCTTTTGTAAGTGCCTTCACCTCATTCACGAGGGAGGAGCCCTCTTAGATCCACCTCTTAATACTATTTGATATAGTTAATACTTAATACTACTTGATATGGTTTGGCTCTGTGTCCCCACTCAAATCTCATGTTGAATTGTAATCCCCAATGTTGGGGGAGGGACCTGGTAGGAGGAAATATGAGGCATATTTCCCCCTTGCAATTCTTGTGATAGTGAGTGAGTTCTCATGAGAGCTAGTTGTTTAAAAGTGTGTAGCACTTTCCCCTTCACTCTCTCTTCCTCCTGTTCCTACATGTGAAGATGCGCTTTCTTCCCCTTTGCATTCTGCCATAATTGTAAGTTTCCTGAGGCCTCCCAGCCATGCTCCCTGTACAGCCTGCAGAACTGTGAGTGAATTAAACCTCTTTTCTTCATAAATTACCCAGTCTCAGGTAGTTCTTTATAGCAATGTGAGAACAGACTAATACACTATCACATTGCAACACTTGAATGTTGGAGGAGACATTTTCAAACCATAGCAAGCATCTTAGTTGCTTCTAGTTTGAGATGAATAAAGCTGTTATGAACATTAAAAATGTAGTTTTTCATATCAGTTGGGTAAATACCTAGAAGTTAAATTACAGGATTGTATGGTAAGATAAAGTTAGGCTACGTAAGAAACTTTCAAATTACCTTCCAAAGTGGCTGTGCCATTTCCCATTCCCAACAGCAATGAACAAGAGTTCCTATTGCACTGCATCATCAGCAGCAACTGGAGTTTCCCATTTTGGATTTTAGCCATCCTAATATGTGCGTAGTGACAGTTTCTTGTCCTGTTGGTTCTGTTTTCCGAAGAACCATGACTGATACGTGTGTCATATCTGAGTCTTCTTCTAATACTTTCTTTGTCCCTTCAGACTGTGTTTCTGCTTGCCTTTGATATGCCTTGTAATTTTTTGTTGTTGTTGTTAAACTACAGACATATTGTAATGGGTCATAAGAATTGAGATAAATAAGCTTTTTATGTGAAGATTGGTTAAGCTGGTAGAAGTTGAACTGTGTTTAAAGTTTGTTGAAACTAGAGATACTAGACATTGCAAAGTCGTCAAGTGATCTTATTTTTGTCTCCCCTTTTGGCCTTGCAGCTTCCTGCTCTGCTTCTCTCAGGGAATCTGTGTCTTGCAGTTCTTCTGGCTATAAACCGCTCTTCCTATACTGGAGGCTTGTCAGGGCAGAGGTGGGGTGTGGGGGAGAGTATGAAGGTGAGGTGTGAGGAGTCTTATCTGACTATAAGAATGCTGTGTCTTAGGGCTGTGTCCTTCACGTGTGTTTCTGTTCCTCTTCCAGAGGTATAGCTCATTCCTCATTTTTTGGATACAACCTTTCCAACAAATTTTTTGAAAACCATTTCCCTTATTGACTGTGTTCCCCTTTACCCCTTTGGTAAGACTGGCTGGAGTGGGTGGAATTTCTTTACCCAGGTGAGATGAAGTTTGAGAATCTCTCTGTGATGAATCCCTTCCCTTGGAGTCAGTGCCCTTGTTAGGTGAACCATCTAGAAATGTTTCACGGTGGCTTGTCATTCCTTCTTCTTTGAGGGCCACAAGGGGATCTTGCTCAAACCCTCACCATGAGAACCTGGTGGAGTTCCTCCAGGTGAAGTCCACAAGTGTGTGGGGCTCCCCTATGTCTGTAGTCCTTAGGAGTTTCTCATGCTCACACTAGTCCATGCCTGGCCTTCATCTATTTGTCAGAATTAATGTCTAAGTGTTTTCTTACTGATTTATGTAGCCCAGTGGCTTCTGCCCCAGGTAAGAAAATCTTGGATGCTGTGTCTCTCTGAATGCACCTGTCATTCCAGGTTGCATGGTGGCAATTTGCCTGGTTTATTTATTTCTCTGTTGATTTCACTTTTCCCAGCTTATTCTAGTTGAAAGGACAGGAGTTGACAGTTTCCAAGTTCTTCATGTTTTGGAACTGAAACTAAAGTCTCCTTATTAATTTTATTATTCCTATTTTATATATGAGAGAGTTGAACTTGTGCATTTTTATACAGCTAGTAAGAGGTCGATGGTTGATTAGCCCAGATCTTCTGATGACACATCTGTATAGTCTCCAACTCCAAGCCTTGATTTCAAATGGCATGTGAAGTGTTTAGGCTTCTATCTGAATTCCTCCTAGCTATGGCATTATATGACTCACCAAGCATGTGCTATGCTATGTACAAATCATACCCTACGTGACTTAGGGAGATTCTAAAGGAATAGAAGATAAAGTTCTGCTCTCAATAACCACACTCTAATTGGGAGACTAAGTATACATGAGGCAATTCAAAAAACAGTACAAAGCCACATACATGCAAGTCTAAAGTCAATGGTATTACATATCATGTCCTCAGACCCTATGGAACCTGCCAAAGTATTGTCAGGAGTCCACAAGTTTGCAATAATAGTTTTTAATTAAGTAAATTTATTTTGTGATAATATTTTAGAAAATGCATTGTTATCAAATTTTAGTCTCAGTGTTTCTGTTTGATTTGTTTTTATGAATGTGTTGGAGTCAAATGGCCATGTAGAGTGATAGCGTTTAATTTTTAACATGTTGCAGAACATGTCTGTCCACCCTGGAGTCATCATATTGTAACATCAAAATGACATAATCATTCTTCATTTGCCATGGAACTTATGAACTTATTTTACTTGATATAAAGGTGACAGAAATGAGGGAGATAATTCACAAGTGAAAAACACTCTTTACAGTAAGACCTAATTTTATAAATTATTTATTAAATCAAAATTTTGATTTGACACCACAGAAAGCACATAACATGTCAGAAAAATATATTACTTTACTAGCTGAGAGATAATGAGAAAAGGAAAGAGGACTTAATGTGTAAATAATGCATCCTCTCAAAGTGGGAGCCAAATGGCATGCCAGTGCACTGTACAAGTGAAAATTGTGCAGCCAGTTGAGTAGAAAAATATGGTGAAAGAATTCAGTCCTCTCACAGTTTATTGCAGTATAGATATCCTAAACTAATGAAAACGTGCACCACAGCAGTCAGTATTGTATTCACAGTGTGGGCCAACATATTGTTCTGTTCATATTTACTTACAATCAGAAAAGCAATAATACAGTGTCAAATATACAGTAAATAGTTTTTCATTATATACTTCATTATCTAGCATTCTATTTAAGAGTGTGTAGCAGACACAGTGTTCTCCTCGGGTTCCCTGAGATTCCTCTCAATGTTTCTGTGCAGCACTTCCTCTGGTTTCTGTGCACTCTTTTCATTAAGAAATGACACTTGTAACTGTGTTAATGGAACTGTTGTTTGGCTACTGAAACCACTTTGTCTACAGCTGCAGGGAACCACAAATTCCTTGGAGTTCGTATGTCCTAGGCATCCTTAGGCAATGTCAGAGTGATTCCACAAGAATGAAAACCCAGCTTTCTGGTTTTAACTCTGGACAAACCCTGAGGTTTACCTTACATTTCAGAGCTCCCAGTAGGATCAGGCTAAGTCTAGAACTTCTAATAAAATCAAGCCTTTGCTTGGATTCTTTCTTCTCCCCATCTTGCTTCTACCATTCTTTCCTTAGTTTCTCCTGAGAAAACTTCTCAAATATATCACTTTCATGAGAAGCTTACCCTCCAAGCATGCTACTGAGGACCCAAACTAAGAAAAATGCACAATTCAAATGGTTTTGCTTTCAAACTGAAGTAACTTTGCAATGATATTTAGTAAGCTCATTGTTAAAAAATATAAAAATAAAAATGGTAATAAATAAAATTCAAAGGAATCATTTTCACAGTCGAAAATAAAATCAAGTCCGCAAGAACTAAATGAAGTTGAATAATTTCTCTACTTAAAGCCAGTGTCACCAATTTTGTCTTATCAAAGGAACCTCACATTAGATTAAGTTAGTTCATTTTAACTGCATTAAGTTTTTAAGGTGTTTTGTTTTGTTTTAAAATTTGTTTTTGTTTCAAACATTTGTGAATGCTATAAGTACACACGGTTTACTTGTTTATACATATTTAAGTCATATTACATAGAAAACAATTTAAGTAAACAATAATGGGTCCACCAGAATAGCTTTTACTTCAAAACAATGGTCTTCAAACTTTTTCTGTAAAGGTCTAGATAGTGAATATTTGACTTTGCAGCCCATAGGGTCTTTGTTAAAACTACTTGACTTCGCTGTTACAGCAAGAAAGAAGCTATAGATAATACATAAATAAATGACCATGGTTATTCCCATAAAACTTTAGTAAAGCAGACAGCAGGCCTCATGTGGTACACAGGCTATAGTTTGTCAACTCCTGCTTTAAAAGTAAACCAAATACATTTAAAAAAAAAAAATGAAAGGCCGGGCGCAGTGGCTCACGCCTGTAATCGCAGAACTTTGGGAGGCCGAGGCGGGCAGATCACCTGAGGTCGGGAGTTTGAGATCAGCCTGACCAACATGGAGAAACCCCGTCTCTACTGAAAATACAAAAAATTAGCCAGGTGTGGTGGCGCATGCCTGTAATCCCAGCTACTCAAGAGGCTGAGGCAGGAGAATCCCTGGAACCCGGGAGGCTGAGGTTGTGGTGAGCCAAGATTGTGCCATTGCGCTCCAGCCTGGGCAACAAGAGTGAAACTCCATCTCAATAAAATAAAATAATTAAAAATAAAATCAGCCATACTGGAATGACATCAGCAAAGTGGCAGAGTAGCGACTTCAAGTTCCTGCCCCACTCCCAGAAACATTTTTAAAAAACAGAAACTTTCAAAATCAACATTGTCAGAACACTCTCAAAATGTTATAGCAACTGAGAGAATGCTGAATCAGGAAAAGGAAACATGAAAATGACAGAAAAGCTTTGTAGCAGTTTTTCTTTTTCTTACCCCATGCACAAGTCAAATCTGTAGCAGTATTAAAGATGGCAGCCTCTGCTAGGCTAACCAACCACTTATAGTGAGCTATGGTAAGATATAGTTGAAACGTGCAAGGCCAGGCACAGTGGCTCACGCCTGTAATCCCAGCACTTTGAGAAGCCAAGGTGAGAGGATCACTTGAGCCCAGGAGTTCAAGACCAGCCTAGGCAAAATAGTGAAACCTCACCTCTACCAAAAAAAAAAAAAAAAAAAATTAACCAGGTGTGGTGGTACACACTTGTAGTCCCAGCTACTGAGGAGGCTAAGGCTGAGGTGGGAGGATAACCTGAGCCCAGGAGTTGAGGCTACAGTGAACCATGCACCACTGCACTCCAGCCTGGGCGACAGAGTGAGACCCTGTCAAAAAATAAAAAAATTTTAAAAAAAGAAGGAGAAACGAAACATGTAATAGACTGCTTAAGGCCTCAGAAGAAAAGCTGGAGAGAGCTTCTTTAGTAAATTGGGAATTAAAAGGCAGCCCTGTATTATATAGGGGAATGTAGAAAGCCACATACATGCCCAAAGCGAGATGCATTCTCTAGAAAGACCTCAGAAGATCTTAATCTTTGACTGATCTTTAAGTTCAGTGCAAGTCAAGCCTAACCGTTGAAGGGGTAACTGGACACATAGCTAATCTGCAAAGATGGCAAGAGGTGTTTATTTTTTTAAACACTTGGCATTCAAGAAAATCACTGCCAAATTATCAGCTGAACACTACACACACATACATTTTTATATATGTGTGTGTATACATATATATGTGTGTGTAATACATATATGTGTGTATATTATATATATATATAATATTAGCTGGGTGACTCAAGGAACAGAGACTTCAGTAACCACAAACGAGAAATACAGTCTTTCCAAAAGCATTTTGGAAAGGTCACTAAACAAATTAAACCTTTAACACTCACAAATGAGCAAACCCTGGAAAAGAGAGGAAACTTGATTTCCAGAGTTTCTATATTATAGTAGTCAAATGTTCAGTTTTCAAGGAAAAATCATAAGGCATACAAAGAAGCAAGAACATATTGCCTATTGGAAAAACAAAATAAGTTTACAGAAATGATCCCTGAGGAAGCCCAACCATTGGAGTTACTAGGCAATGACTTTATTTTATTTACTTTTTGAGCTGGAGTCTTGCTTTGTTGCCCAGGCTGGAGTGCAGTGCTGCGATCTTGGCTCACTGCAACCTCCATCTTTTGGGTTCAAGCAATTCTCCTGCCTCAACTTCCTGAGTAGCTGGGACTACAGGCATGCACCACCACACCTGGCTAGATTTTGTATTTTTAGTAGAGATAGGGTTTTGCCATGTTATCCAGGCTGGTTTCAAACTCTTGACCTCAAGTGATCAGCCTCCCAAAGTGCTGGGATTACAGGTGTGAGCCACTGTGCCTGGCCAACAATGACTTTAAAAAAACTGTCTTAATGTGTTCAAGGAGCTAAGGGGAACATTGGACAAAGAACTATAGAAAATAAGGAAAACAATGTATGAACAAGGTGAGGATGTCAATAAAGAGGAAATATTTTTTAATAAGTTACTGAAATAAAATATAGAATAACTGAAATGAAAAATTTACTGGAGGGAATCAACAGTTTATTTGGGCATGAAAAAGAAGAAATTGGTGAACTTGATGGTAGGACAACTGAAATTATTGACTCTGAAATGTAGAGAGGAAAGGGAATGAATAAAAGTAGGCAAAGCCTAAGGTATCTGTGGGCTACTTTCAAATAGACCAATATATGCCATGTGGTAATCCCAGAAAGAGAAGAGAAAGAGAAATGGATAAAAATGTATTTGAAAAATAATGTTTAAAAACTGCCCCAATTTGATGAATTACATAAATCTATGCATCCGGGAAGTTCAATGAACTCCAAGTAGGATAAACTCAAAGAGATACACATCAAAACATGCAATCAAGCTATCAAAAGCCAAAGCCAAAGAAAAATGTTGAAAGCAGAAAAGAGAAATGACTTGTTATATACAAGTCATTCTCAACAATCTTAACAGTAAATTCATCTTCAGAAATAATGGAGACTAGAAGGAAGAGGAAAGGTATATTTAAAGAGCAGAATTATATATTTAGAGGCAAGGAAATGATATATTTAAATAACTGATATATTTACATGACATATTTAAAATGATACATATTTGTTAAAATTAGGCCAGAAAAGAAATTGAAGACATCCAAATGGGGAAGGATAAAATAAAACTATCTATTCACAGGTGACATGATCCTAATGTGGAGAATTCCAAAAGACTTAAAAAAAATGCTACAAATGAGCTTATTAAATTTGCAGAGTATAAGATCAAATACACAGAAAATTGGTTGTATTTCTATACACCAACAAATAATCACATTTACAATAGGTTCCGAAAGAGTAAAATATCTACAATTCAATGCCATTGAACTGTACACTCAAACATGGTTAAAATGGTAAATTTTATGTAATATATTTCATCACAACAACAGTGTTATTTTAAGATGTAAACATCACCCAAGTTTGAAGACGCCATTACATTTCATACTAAACTGGAGGGTGACTTCAAAAACTACTTTTCTTTACATTTTGTATTTATATTCTAAGAGCACACAGCTAAAATACATGAGGTCTGGTCTGACAAATATTATTCTACTTTTCACAGTAAAATTACTATTTTTTTCCTTTTGTGAAAGAATTACATTATTCAGGCCCTGGGAGAGAGCACACAATCTGGAATTTAGCTTCAAATTAGACCTTGTCTAGTTCCATGCTATACACTAAGGTACAGGAGAAAGTGAAATACTTTTTGCTGTTTGTCTTTGACTTCTCAGGATGGAAAGTAACTTGGAACATCACATTTACTTATAGATTATTTGCTTTGTATGTAGGACTCCCCCTTGTAGTTTGACCTGTCCTACCCTTAGTCCCTGGAACACCAACTGTATACGCTGCCTTTCCAACCTTAAATAATTTGCTTTAGGGATAGCCACCTGGTCCAATGAGCATAACCATTCCAATTTTGAGCTAAGAGGCTGTAGATATTTGATCTTGAAGGCTGGAACTAAAAGACTGAATAGACCCAAAAGTGAAGGGTTCTGTTTTGAACCACATATAAATGTCAGAGAGCAGATCCACAGAGAGGAGCTGAGAGGAAACACAAGCAGCCCTGAGAAATGGGAAGAGCCCCCTCACTCCCGACAGCTCTCCAGCACCCGACAACATGCAGCTCCCCCGCCTTCACTGTTCTTGGATTCTACGAGATGGATTCACTTAACATAAGCTGGCCATTTTACTTAACTTGTTCAACTAATTTCTAGTCCTTGCACTATAATAATCAGAATAGAACATATTAGCATAAACACAAATATATTTTGATTTAAGTTGTAAATTATGCATGGCTTTTACAACTTCAAAGACATTGTATGTTTGCGGAGGGTAATTTCATACTACCTGCCTTTATCAGCTTAAGGATAAATATTTAGTCTCCTCAGTCATTCTGGGTATTTTGGAGAAATCAAATATGAAATATTGAAAGTCTAACCATTCAGAGTGCTAACATCTTCTCTACAAAATCCCCAGCAAATAGTCACGCAGCGTCCACATGAATTTCTCCAGCGCCACATGGCACACAACGTTCTCCTCCCCAAGGGAAGCAGTATCTTCCATCTCAATGGCGGCAAGCTCAGATCAAGTGGAAACAACGTAGCCAGCCTTCCGCTTGAGGTGCCAGCTCTGCGTCTCTGGGGTGGCTTGTTTTTATGCTGCAGCAAAAACATATGACAGCTAGAACCTTCCAAATAGACAAAAACTGATGCCAGCTCTAACACACCTTTTGAAAATTGCATATGGTTTGCATAGTATGTTGTCGGCACAAGCATAAAAAATTCTCATCAGATAAACTGGGCTTGTTACCTCATCCATATTGCTGCCAACCTGGAAGGATACTTAGCAAAACTTAAAAAGTTGTATCCCAGCACTTAAGCAAGAAGATTCTTTACTGCTGCTCTGAAAGCAGCAGCAACAGGACGTGTAAATCATTATTAACAGTGTTGTGTATATGAGAAAATAACTATATCACACCACTGTTGAGTGAGAGCTGTAAAGGGAGGAAGCTCAGAACAAGTAACAATAATGCAATTAGCCTGGAGGTCCCTTCTTCTGTTGAAGAGGAAATTAATCACATATTTCTAAGCATCAAAGATGCCATCACCCAACCCACACAACTGATGGAAACAGCTTTTGTTCCCTCCCCACAGTTTGTAGTTATGACATTTCAAAAGGCAGAACTGTCAAGGAGGGTCACTTTTGTGGACTACCAGATTCCTCACGGTAATCTTCACGACAAAGTGAGGCAAGCGCCCCTAAGCAGATGCCTAGGCTGAGAATGCCTGAGAAGGGTTGTGCCATGATCCTCTCAACCCCAGATACCTGGGTGGGATGACAGTCTGGGTGCTTTGGGTGGGTCAGTCCTCTTCTAGATAGCAGGCTTCATGCTGGTTATTAACTTATCCTAAAAGCAAAGCAGTTTCTGTCAAGGCACTAGTTTCCTTTCTAATGAGGCATCAAATAAATGTTCTTGCATGGAGGCATTTCCCTAAGTCATGTAATGTTCTTTGTACTTCTCATATAATTACACTCAAGAAAGAAGAACTGCCAGGGTTTGTAAGGGAAAACAAGCCATTATTTTCCTTCCTGGGAGACATGAAATTCTCATCTTATTTCTTCTGACTTGATCCTGCCACAGATTCCTGAGGGTGACCAATGGCATAAAGATTGGCTCCTCCTTATGGTGTTTAGAGTAATAGAAAAAGAGAGGCTCCCTAGACGCTTCCTCTACTGCACAGATGCCATCTGCCTTCTGATCTTCTATCTCTCTCTCTACCACTCCACCTCACTTTGCAAGTTCTACTGATTGAAAAGATGTGCCAAGCTGGAAAATTAAAATTATTTTGTATCGGCATTATTAGTTAGAAAGTAGAAGTGACAACTTTGGTTTCCTGCCATACATTCTATAGGGAAAAGAAACCCACATAAACACTATATTCATGAAATTCTTTCTCCAGTTGACATGGGAGTTCAAGGCAACAATGAAGCTGGGTAATGCTGGGAAGACAGGCATGGAAATGAGAAAGAGAAAAGCCTAAAGGAGTTAAACAAAAAAATAATATCTCTTAGTACACGCTTCACACAATAGTACTCCATGGATTATAGATTTGACGTTCATGGATCTTGTATCCTTATTCTCAATTCCCCACCACAGAAATAATGGCAAGCCCTCTCACAAATCGGGACACTTACAGTTAAATATTTAAGAATGCAGCATATATAATTTTGGACAGAAGGGAATTTCAGGAATAAACTACTCCTTTAAAAATGATAAAAAGTGTCTAGTCTATAAATTATAAAGTTGGGGCTTATTTGTAGGTAAAAGGTCAACTCACTTTAAAATGCAAACCCTCCTATCATTTTTGTGTAGTTCATGGGAAGAATTATTTTTATTCTCATAAGAAGAAATGTAGAAAAACAGGGACTTTGTCTATGCCCCAGGTAAAATGTGGAAAATCTCAGCTCATCACTCAGCTGCTGGAGGACAGCTGAGCATCCAGCACCAGGCAGGTAAATATTAAGATGTTTTCCTGGCTGGGCATGTGGCTCATGCCTGTAATTCCAGCACTTTGGGAGGTCGAGGTGGGTGGATCATAAGGTCAGGAGTTCGAGACCAGCTTGGCCAACATGGTGAAACCCCTCTCTACTGAAAACACAAAAATTAGCTGGGCGTGGTGGCATGGACCTGTAATCCCAGCTACTCAGGAGGCTGAGGCAGGAGAATTGCTTGAACCCAAGAGGCAGAGGTTGCAGTGAGCTGAGATTGCATCACTGCACTCCAGCCTGGGTGACAGAGCAAGACTCCGTCTCAAAAAAAAAAAAAAAAAAGATGTTTTCCTAATAGTTCCTTCCAGATCCTTTGATCCTGTGTAGACCCTACCTTAATAACTTTTGTAAGCCTTCTCAGCATGATCTCCTCTTTAGACATAGCTCTGAAATTATTCAGTAGCAATAATGACAGTAGCTTTCATTTATTAAGTGCTGCTTGCTTGGTGTTTATCACACATTTCTTCAAAGACACATATGATGCAAGATAAATCTGCTCTCATTATATAGAGGAGTCAGAAAGAGGAGAAACATGACCCCACATCATAGATCTAGAAGTGGCAAAGCCCAGGCTGCATCTACACAGAAACCCCCACTCTCTGCCCAGCCTGCTCACCAAATTCTTAACAGTCACAGAGAATTAGCTCAGACAAAATTATTTATTAAGAAGCTGCTCAATTTGGAAGAGTAAGAGCTAATTTTACTTCAGAGACATACTTGTTTCTGTTAAAGTGTTCTTTGACATGTAATCATTTGATGTTCCTACAATATTGGTGTTTTGAATGCAGTGCAGTATAGTGGGTACAAGTGTAGAGTTTGGAGACAAACATATTTTCCTGGAGTTTGAATTCAGCACCTGTACCTGTACCTACGCCAGTAACTAAACCTTCATGATCTTCAGTTTTCTCATGAGTAAAATGAGTATATCAATCAAACCATCTCATTGAGTTGTTGGGGTGATTAAATAAATTAGTGCACATAAAATTATTTTGTGCACAATAAGCATTCATCAGATATTATTATTGTCTTAATGTGATTATTAAAATAGTTGTTTTTGGTTATTGCCATCAGTTTGTATGAAAGTTTGGAAGAAGTTGTGTTCTTTTAGTCCTGTATTGATAAAGATCAGGATAAGCCTTTCCCTGAAGACATGCTGTCCAAAACTTTGAGTCTGATCACCATTCCACTGGAATATATGTATTCTTTTGCTGACAGTCTACTCTTATATAAGTTCACATCATTTAGATATCTCTACTGAACCAGTATCCTCTTGGGTTTTTAATGCATATGCAGATTATTTTTTCTGCATTTATTAGGAATGTATTGGCTTGACTTAATCGTTGCCTTCCCTGATAATACTTGATTCTAAGGGGATTTGCCTCATCCCCCAGGCCGTGCTACCTAAATGACCACATTACGTATACCACAACCCAGGATCTCCAAAGATTTGTGGACCAACAAATGTCCCCTGATGAAAGGGAAAAACATCTAGATTATGGTTGGTCACCTAATTAGTGCTGATTCGAAGTGGTGAGTTGGTCTATCCAGTTATAAGTCCTTGAAGAATGTGAAAAGCAACACAACCACAGCTGTATCAGCAAATGTGTGGCACCCCAGACTCCTCCCCTCACCCACTCCTTAGGTATCTCTTGACCCCTTAATTCCTTCCTCTGTGCAGAGGGCTCTGCCTTTGTCAAAATAGCTCCTTTATCCTTTTGTGATGAAGAACTGAGAAAATGGACAAGGAATCAAAAGAAAAAAAATCTATACATATGGATTTCTGAAAGGCAGGTGGAGCAGAAAAGCTCAGACAGCAGTGGGTGATTGGGGAAAGTGACCTGCTATGAGCAGATGGAGAGCAAGAAGGGAATGAGAGAAAATGTTCTTGGCAGTGGTGGGGGGAAGGTTCTTCCCAGTTGCAGAAGGCTAGTGACAGGAGACAGAATCATTCACTAATCATTGCTGAAAACTCTATGGGGTCCATTTGGACTGAGCCTCTGAATGGGATGGAACAAGGCGGGGCTTGACCTACTTGGCCGTGCTCCAGTAGAGGTGTGACCTTAGAAGGTGTGTGAGGCTCTGGGAAGAAAGTCACAGATAGCAATGAGAGTGGATGTAGAAAGGAGCCAGAGAGATGTAGAGCCAGAGATGTAGAAAGGCTGGCCACAATGAGCATGTGGAATGCAAGGCTGTGAAGGGACAGCCATGAGCACTCATCCAAGGAGGGGTGGGAAGGAAAAAGAACCACTCAGATGGCCAGAGACAGACTTTCCTTGGTGAGACTGATCTGAGAATTCCTTAAGATGAACTCCCATTTTTGGAAGGTGATATGGAAAGCCTTTGTATTTTGGTATCCCAAAAAAGACAAACTAACAGAGAATGTCAACGACATCAAGATGCCGTGGCACCAGCCCTTGTCCTCAAAGAGCTTCTCTCCTGGAGTGTGTGGGTTTGCAATAAGTCACAAGCATGTGTGGGAGACACCTCTAAGACAGCTGCCATGAGGTCCACCTCCTTTTTGCAATGTCCTCCCCTTGAGAGTGGGCTGGACCTGGCAATTTACTTTCAAAAAATAGAATATGACAGAAGTAAAGAAATTTTACTTCCAAGGTTAGGTTACAAAAGCACTCTGACTTCCATCTTGAGTGGTCTCTCTCATTCTCTCCTTCACTTTGAGGGAAGCCAGCTGCCATGCTGTGAGCTGCTCTAAGGAAAGTCCATCTGTGAAAGCAGTGATGTTCCAGCCAGCAGACAGCAACCCAGGCCTGCCGGCCACCAGGACAGTAACCTGGAAACTGATCATCCACTGCAGACACCTCAATCACACCTTCGTGAAGGGCCCTCTGCCAAGCTGCACCTGGTTCCTGACCTACAGAGACTGTGAGATAATAAGTGTTTGTTGTTGAAGCCACTAAATCATGAGGTAATTTTTAGGCAGCAAGAGATAACTGATACAGCAGGATTTGCCCCTTAAAAGTGTACAAATCTGGTGGAGGAAAAAAAAATAACTGAAAGAGGATGAAGGGGGTTGGTTGCCTTTTCTGAGAACAGATTTCAGCCTGAAATCCAAGGCTGGCTGAGTTTGCAGAACAGAGAGGAAGGAGACATCAGTGTGACTTTGATCCTGCATTTTGTGCTGATGTGGGTGGTGCCTATAGTAACAGTTACTGCAATCTCCGGTACCCTGTAGGATTCTTTAAATCTCATGGAGCTCCTTTGAAAGGCGTACTTTTGGCTTTATAGAAACTCTTACAGGGAACACAGTCAGAAGAGTGTTGGAAAAAATTACAGGCGGGAACGACAACTTATCCTCATTTCCTGCCCTGGAAATAGAGTAATACAGCCGCCCACAGGCTTCCATTCTAGTGTCCTTCTTACCTAAAATTGTAACTTTCTTTCGTTCTCTCAATTGTAAATTTGTTTTATCAATTTTGTCTCATGGGACCCTCTGTAATGATGAGATCTTAGATTTAAAATTTATTTTCAGTCTTACCTGAGTAATCAAGAGCTTACCTGAAAAGCTTCTCTTGTAACAAGAGAAAATAGGGGTATTTATTTGTTGAGAAACAAAAAGCAGAAAGAGGTGAGCATAAAGAAACAGAAAGAGAGAGAGAGGCTAAAAGAAAATTCATAAGCTGGAAACATATCAAAAATCCTGAACACAGAACTTATAAACCTTGGGGCAGTTGTGTGACCTGCTTAAAAATCAATTAACTCTCTGGACATTTAGGGCCTTTTGTTAAATTTTTCTCTATCAGTCCAAATGGACAGTTTTATTTAGTAAAATAAATCAATGCCCTCTACGTCTGCTGCAGTCAGCCTGAGAAACAGTGGAACTGACTCTTAAAGAACGCCAACAATAATCAACTCGTGACATAATTTCTATTTATTCTTTCTCCTCCCCCTCCTTTTGATTAAGCACTTTTTTGAATTTTGAAAAGAGCTTCATGAATCATTCTGTGGTTGCTTAATATTAATAGTAATGGGATTTATTCTATTGAAATGGGTTCATTATCATGCCAGCTGCCAGGCTTGCATCTCCAAAGAGGTTTCTGGAAATAGACTCTTCTAAACACCTTTCTTGCAAGAGAGCTGCAGACTAAAATAGGAAAATATACAAATATTGCCCAAGTTTACACTCAGATCAACATGAACTGACAACAATTCAAGCTTATCTAAGCACTCACAGCAGTGTCCCTTGCACTCACGGCAGTGTCCCTTACACTCCCTCTATGGATTTCTTTTGGTTCTCTGTCTCTTCCTGAAATTTTCTTACTTCTGTATCTTACTACCTCCTCACCATTCAGTGATCTTTCAACCTACCCAAATCATGTCTCTTCCATAAAGCCTTGCTTATTCTCTCTGGTCAGAAATAATTTCTGCCTGCCTTGTGCACATTTGTGGCATTTGAATCTGTCCTTTCTAGAACATTCTAAGCTCCTTGAAGATGGGGCTGTATCCCTGTTGCAGCATTTAGCACATCACCTGGAGCAGAACCATCATTCAGCACATTGTGTTGAGATCCCTGGGCCGTCCATGGAATTCCCAGCCTCTGTGACTAGCACCGGGCATGGCATTCACAGAATCCAGCATGTGACATTTTAGGTAAATTCTTTCAAATTGGGAAAACTAGAATTAAATTTCACATGCAAACAAACAGGTAAAAACATAATTTAGAGACACTATTGAGCGTATCCACTGAGTTTAAGAAAATCTTCCAAAAAGGAAAGTCACAAGAGGAAGACTAAATTGATTCATAAATTAGCAAACAGGGTAAAGAGTCTTCATTTCCTTTGGACACTATAGGACTTATTGCTTAATTATGTGCATGCCTATTGCCAAGTTGTAAGTTCCCCACAGCAGAGACCATGTGACCATGCTGGGCACTATGGTAGGTATTATTTGAATTACAATGAAAATTATATATTTTCATAAATTACTGATGGCCAGATTAAAAAAAGAGAAAGAAAAGAGAAGCAGACAGGAAATACACAGCCCTGACAAATTTGAAATTAAACATAACCATCTTTCCTTAGATGCTCTTTACTCTAAGCATTAGGTTTCTTTTTTTTTTTTTCTTTTTAAGAGAAGGAGTGTCACTCTGTCACCCAGGCTGGAGTGCAGTGGCATGATCTTGGCTCATTGCAACCCCCACCCGCTGGGCGCAAATGATTTTCCCACCTTGGCCTCCAAAGTAGGTGGGACTACAGATGCACGCCACCACACTCAGCTACTTTTTCAATTTTTTGTAGAGATGAGGTTTCCCTATATTGCCCAGGCTGATCTTGAATTCCTGGGCTCAAGCAATCCTCCTGCCTTGGCCTACCAAAATGCTGGGATTACAGGCATGAGCCACTGCACCCAGCCTCAAAACGATTCTTGACAAGCTACAGACTAACATGTCTTTGCATGTGTATGTATGAGTGTGTATACAAATCCAGTTACATCTAAAATATATAAGAAGAACTGAATACTAAGAGGAGCTCTTTGTCCATTGTGCAAATCTGAATCTTTTTATAGTAAGCTGGCTCTCTGTGGCACTTGCCCATATCCATTTCCAGGTTCAGTGCTCTTTCCAAGGGAAGGGAGAGACGGTTTGCTCTTTGTAGAGAAGCATTTGCCTGGCTTAGCCTAACCCATGTTTAGAGAGACTACACAGCAGGGAGAATGCCAGATGGCAGCAGGGATGGGAAACCTAGATTTCAAAGGGCAAGTATGAGGGAATCACCAAAATTCTGCTACTAGAACAAGTAGAACAGACCGAGCAGCTGCTCTGGCCCTAGGCGATGGTTGAGGAGGCCAGGTTGGTATCTGGTTCCCTCTTTCTCCAAGGAAAAAAGACTCTGCTGTCCTCTGATGCCATAATCCTTTTCTGATTGTTTCTGTTTGTCTTACATTCTGGAGAGAAAAGTCTTCTACTTAATGTAATGTATTTTTAAGCAACCTTTATGCAAGCTCTTCTCAACATTGAAACATCTAGTGGCACTCAGCAAAGTACCCATTTGCTCTCTTTTCTCCTTAGTGTCTCTTCCTTCTGTCCTGATTTCTTCCTACTTAGAAATCAAGAGATTGATCTTCTTCAAATCTTATCCCATCTCTTTGATCCACTCCTCTTCTTTCTCTCCATTTATTTCTGTCAATAGAAACAAAAAAAAAGGAGAGACAGAGAGAAAGAAGAAAAGCAACAGGAGGAAAAGGAAGGAGAGAGAAGGCCTTCCGACAGAGGTCAAGGAGAAGGGGAGGGAAATGAGGAGAAGGAGCTGATGGAAACTTTGGAGCATACTTAGGGCTGTATTTTGTCATAAATCCTACAGCACTCATTCTACTGGTTTGCTATTTCTTGGATTTTTAAAAATGTTCTTGTTAAATAAATCATTGCAGAGATAAAATGACTGTATTGAATACTCTCTTTTGAATGCAATATTATTTATTCACTGTCCAGAGAGATTCACTACCTCAAATCTTTGTGTTCTTTCCTTATCTGACCAACCATTACCACCCGGTGAGATCAACATTATCATTATCAGCTCTCATAGGAGAGAAACAGTTGGTGTTAATACCAGCGATTGTAGTCTACTCCACAGGAGGGGTGAGAATTGTGGAAATTTGGGTCCAAGATAAGGAACTCCTGAAAGAGTTCTCCTGACCTCTTCTGGGAAGCTGGGAAACCCTGCCAAAGGCCTGCCAAGCACTTCCTGTAGGCAGAAGTCCACCTTGCCCAGGCCTATGCCAGTTCTATATAAGACAGCTGCTTAAGCGAGCACTGTCCTGGAAGAACAGTCTACCCCAGTCAAAGCAGCAAACAGCCCATCCCCTTATGGTGACTGTATTCAATCACTTGGCTCAATCGGCACAAGGAAAATGAATAAAGAGAGAAACAAAAAATTAAGAGCAAAAACATAGAATCTGAAATAAAATAAAAACTCAGCAAATACTTTACAAGCATAGTTTCAAATGGCTGGAATATATTCCACTTATTTCTGCAAAATCTAAGATGAATTTTTAATTTATGATTATTATACACTAAATAGTTACATGTTCATATCTGCTGACTTTTAAGCAATAAAGTGTTTTTCCAGATGATTAGAGAACAGAGGTGTAAAATTTCTCAAAGGAACTTAATGAGGTGGTAACTTAAGAAAAACTAATGATAATGATGAGAATTTTAGTAGCAATGAGTAAATACCTGCAAAGTCCTGAGAACGTCAACTTCAAAAATGCTAAGTGGGAGTTCAGTGTGGATTCTGAGTCCAGAGAATAAACAAAGCCTCATCTCAGGTGCAGAGATAAATCTGGGATGGACACACAGGACAGAAGACAGCAATCTAACAAAAGGATCTCCAAAGATACAAATTATGTTCAACTGAAAGGAGGAGATCTGGGATGTACACACAGGACAGAAAACAGCAACCTAACAAAAGGATCTCCAAAGATACAAATTATGTTCAACTGAAAGGAGGAGATCTGGGATGTACACACAGGACAGAAGACAGCCACCTAACAAAAGGATCTCCAAAGATACAAATTATGCTCAACTGAAAGGAGGAGACTTGGGATTTCCAGCCACTAGTTCTGGAGCAACTCACACTGTGGTCAAATAATTCCAAAGACCTAAGGAAGGCCGGACACGATGGCTCATGCCTGTAATGCCAGCACTTTGGAAGGCCAAGGCAGGAGGATCACTTGAGTCCAGGAGTTTGAGACCAGCCTGGAACCCCAGAGATGGAACCCTCTACAAAAAATACACACACACACACACACACACACACACACACACACACACACACACACAAAATTAGCCAGGCATGATAGCACGTGACTGTACTCCCACCTACCAGAGAGCCTGAGGTGGGAGGATCAATTGAGCCAAAGAGTTCAAGACTGCAGTGAGCCATGATTGCACCCCTGCATTCCAGCCTGGGTGACAGAGCAAAAGTCTGTCTATTTGAAGGAATGGCTGAGTGGGTAATACAGTGTTTAAGAGCACAGACTCTAGGGCTAGGTATCTGGGTTCAAGTCTTTCTTCTGACATGTAGCAGCTGTGTGACCTCCAGCTAGTCACTTAACTTCTCCATGCCTCAGTTTCCTCATCTATAAAAGGTGAGTAACAATAATAATAATAACACATAATTGCTGATGAATTAAATGAGATAAGGCATAGAAAGCATAAAGTTTAGGGCCTGACACAATAAGCAATACTAAGTGTTTACCATGGGCCAGGTACTGGATGATGTAGAGAAGACGAAGAAGTTCTAGTCCTTGTCCTCAGGGGAGCCTAAGGGAAAAGACATGATGCACAAAATCACAGGGTGCTTTGAGAAGTTGGAGGACAGCACCCTAATAAGAGAAGGCTGCATCTAAGCTGAGTTTGAAGGGCAAGCAATAGAACTGCTGTACCCCTGATAAAATTATTAGAATCCCCTTAGTAGCCAATCTTGTTGATGACTCTAGAAATTGAAACCATGGAGGTCAAAGATAGGTGTAGTGGTAGCACATCTAATAAATGTGAGTTCTTACCTGGCTTTATGTTATCAGCGTGCTCCAGAAGACTATGCATAAATCAAATCAGGTTTTAAATGCTCTAGAAGAATTCAGGATGAAAGGGACATTACATTTAGAAGAAACTGTCTATACTGGGAAAAGACTTATATGATGAGTCATTTGTAGAATGGTTATGTATTTCCTCACATACCTGAAATTCCTGCTGTCTCTTCTCTCTGTCCATCCAAATCTTATCCACTGCCAGGTCTCCTGTAAGTGCCTATTTTACCATTAAACTTATCCTGAGCACCACAGCTAGCGGAACTGTCTCCTTTCCGCACAATGATAAAGCCCTTACCCTCTCTTCACCTTCCGTGTTCCTCTGTACCGACTGCTTTGTATTTTGGTTTGATGTGTGTGTGCATATCTTTCACACTCCCTGAGCACAGGGACCTTATCTTGCATTCCTCTGTGCTTCTACGGTGCTTAGCAATGTGGATTGGGTATGAGGCACTCAATGTATGTCGGTAGGTGAAATTCACATCTTCAGGAATGACATTTACTTCCCATGACTCAAACTGGCATAGATCCCAACTCTAACTTCAAGAGATGAAATTTCCATCCAGCCTCAAATGCTACAAGAGAGGATAATTTTTATAAGGAGAAGAGAGAACTGAAATACCAACCTCTTAGTAAACAAGAAAATTCTGTCTGAGTGCTTCAGGCATCTAAAAAAGAAGAAAAGCAAAAAGAGATGAGGAAAGAGAAGAGTATGTGTATGTGTGTGTGAATAAATATAATTAACTCACCTTCCATGTGAAAGTCTGGGGGAATGTAATGACTGTCATTAATGTTTCTTCCTCCTGTCACAAGAAGGAAGAGAAATCATACAAGAGTCACTATCTCCACCACACTGCAAAAATGGTAGCCTACCAGGGGATTCCAAACACACGGCCTTCTACAAGGCCATCTAGTAGAAGAAATTTATTTAAAAATATGTATGTAAAATAAAGTTTGATGGTAGTTATTAAAGGAATCTAATACAGACTCAGGCTATAGTCCAAGGTTCCATGGGTGCACAGGACATCTTAGCCATTATAGCTCGTCTTGTACAAACACCTTATTTTTATTCCACACATGATTAAGCTCTTTACTTTGCAGCACCTCTAGCTAAGCTGCTTTGGGAAAACACCTTAGAAAAATGTTCCCTTCTTACCAAATACAAGCTTGTGTAATCATTGTCCCATATGAAATATGTATATGAAGTGTTTAATACCATAGAGACCTCGAAAGCTGTCTATATTGCTTATTCCAACTCAAGTTTCTCAATGAATAACATTTGATTGATTCTTTTAATTCAACATTTATAGCAATTCAGGAATATTAGTACCTTGGTACTTGAATAAATCTCCTTGAATAACAGAGTAGTCACGTAGATAGGAAGTATCCACTTGCTGGTTGAGGAAAAATTGATTTTACCAATATTCCATGGCTCCTGGGGAACCCAAAACTCCTGATAGGAAGTTTTGTGGTTGTGAAGGCACAGGTCTGAGAATTTTGTGGAAGGTGTCTTTCTAATCAGCCTCGTAACAGACCCTTGAAATACATTGCCTTAGGATAGGACTCGAAAACAGAAGTCTCTCTCATAATGGCCATACTTTCCCCTGAGTACCTTTCTGAAGCATTCTTCCACACACAGCCTAGAATGTCAGAAATGCAGTGTGGCTGTCACGTTTAATATTAGCCAATTAACCGGACACGGCCCTACACCCTCTATAGCTTTCCTCAGCATGGAGCTGCTCTCCCTCTGGCTCCACCAGGAAAGAAAGTTCTAATCTTTCTAACTCACTGAACCTCACAGTTTCTCCTTCCAGATCCATCATTCCTGGATACTCATGGTCTTTCTCCATCAGAGAAGAGTTCAGGTCAAAGCTGTTTTAGCCTTGCTTTAGTGCCTTTCAACATTCTGCAGAACTGAGATTTTTATCCCCAACAATACAACTTTTGTCAATCTACAGCTTAAGTTATCCAACTAGTCTTTCTTATCTGTTTTACTTTTTTTTTATTTTTCTGACTTATCAGCTACTTCATTACCTCTACATCTCTCAGCTCACTCTGTGTGCTCTCTGCTCTTATTGAATCTCTGGTTTCTGTAAAGACATCAAGTACCTCTGGACCTGATGTTCTTAGGGCTGGAGGCTTACATCTGCCCTCGCTCAGGACACTTCGCTTCCCTCCCTGTCCACTGCTCTCACTAGGGATATAAATCCTCTCATCTCTGGCTCTCCTATGTCTCTTTCATGGAAGCAGTTGCATGGATATTAAACCTGCAACACTTCTTCTTTTGTTAACATTTTTAACTCAAGGCAGCTTTCAATCACAATGTTTTTGGATACTTAGGAGTTTTCTGGAGAAGGTGGTGGGGAAGAGATAATGAGCCGGGAGGTAAGGTACTACAGACATACATCTCAAAATTCCAATTCAGTCCACTTATTCATGAGAAAGTAGCCTAAATTATTAGCGTGTCAGATGCATTGGTGTCTTAGACTTCAAACAACAAATCTTCTCTGCAGTATTGCAGTCTCCTTTGAATTTGCATATAATCTATGCACATACTTTAATCTCTAGAGTACACATATGGTATAATACAGTGTAAATGCTGTGTAAATAGTTGTTATTTAAATTTTTATTTATATTATTTTTATTGTTTTTGTTATTTTTTTCAAGTATTTTTGATCTGTGACTGGTTGAATCTGCACATATATTGCAGAACCCAAGGACATGAAGCACCAAGTATATAAAATCAATGTGTAAATAAACGTTTTATGGAAATATAGTGTGTGTATATTCATGTATATGTGTATATATATATGTGTATATACACATATAAATACAGAGGGAGAAGTGCACAAATCATGTGTGTATGCCTCTCAGTGAATTATCAAAAAGTGATTACACATATAACCACCACACTGGTCAAGAAATAAAACATAATTAGCATCCAGATATATCTCTTTGCATGCCTTCCCCTAGCAACTAATCCATCCCCCACTTCCAAAAATAAACAAACATTAGTTGTACCATTTTTTTGCCATTACATAGAGGATAATGCAATAGGAGTCATTTGTCTCTGACTTTTTTTTTTTTTGCTCAACATTACATTGCAAAAATTATCCATGTTACTTTGCACAGCAATTGTTTGTTTTCATTGCAGTATAATATTCTTCTGTATTGCAATAGCACAGCATATTGATCCTACTGGCTTGTTTCCATTATTTGGCTACTTTGAATAATGGCATAAGCTCAGCAGTCTCTGAGAGAACTCTCAATGATCGCTGTTTCCTAATAGTCACACTCTTTGTGGAGCTGCCTCCTGAAGGACTGGCATTTTCTTGGTCACTCTTGCTGGCTCACTTGGGAAGGAAATCCAGCTGCTATGTTGTGAACTGCTCTGTGGATAGCTCCATGGAGAGGGAAGCGAGGGTGACCTCTGGCACACATTCCACAAGGAACTGAATCTTACTGCCAATGCTGTGAGTGAGCTTGGAAGGAGATCCTCCCCAATTCCAGCCTTCAAAGACAGACCATGATCAGCCTTCAGACAAGACCAATGCTTTGCTGGAACCTCATGAGAGACCTTGAGCTGAAGGCTCCCAGATATGCTGCACACAAATTCCTGAACCACAGAAGCTGTGAGATAATAAATGTTTATTATTGTAATCTGCTAAGTTGGGAGGGGACCGTAATTTGTTACTAATATAGTTATATAAACATTTTGTACCTATTTTATGTGAACAGTTCTATTAGATATAAACAAAGGAATGGCATTGCTAGGTTCAGCTTTATTGTATCCTGACAGTTTTCCAAAACAGCTGAAGCAATTTATTCTCCCTAACACCAAATATCACAGTTCTAGTCCCTCTGCAGCCTTACCAATGGCTGGTATTGTCAGACGTTTTTATTTTAGTAATTGCGACAGATAGGCAGGGGTATCTTTTCTTTTCTTTTTTTTTTTCTTTTTTTTTTTTTTTGAGATGAATCCTTGCTCTATCACCTAGGCTGGAGTGCAGTGGCACGATCTCAGCTCACTGCAACTTCCGCCTCCTGGGTTCAAGCGGTCCTTCCACCTCAGCCTCCTGAGTAGCCGGGATTATAGGTGTGCACCACCACACCTGGCTATTTTTTTTTTTTTTTTTTTGTACATGGTTTCACCATGTTGGCCAGGCTGGTCTCAAACTCCTAACCTCAGGTGATCTGCCAGCCTCGGTCCCCCAAAGTGCTGGGATTACAGGTGTGAGCCACTGTGCCAGACCAGCAGGGGCATCTTAAGGTTCCCAAAAACAATAATGTTGAGCACCTTTTCATATAATTGTGGGCCATTTGCATATCTTATCTTATGAAGTGACTGCTTTTCTATTGAGTTGTGTGTCTTCTTTTCTTATTGATGTGAAATAACTCTTTTTATATTTTGCATATAAGGTCTTTGTTATTTATATAGTTTGCAGATGCTGCCTCCCTAACTAACATGGTCTGTCTACTTTCTTAATGGGGTATTTAGATGGACGTAAGGTTTTTTTGTTTTGTTTTGTTTTGTCTTTTCGAGACAGAGTTTCACTCTTGTCACCCAGGCTGGAGCGCAATGGCGCGATCTCGGCTCACGGCAACCTCTGCCTCCCAGGTTCAAGCAATTCTTCTGCCTCAGCCTCCCAAGTAGCTCAGATTACAGGCGCATGCCACCACGCCCTGCTAATTTTTGTATTTTTAGTAGAGACAGGGTTTCATCACATTGGCCAGGCTGGTCTGGAACTCCTGACCTCAGGTGATCCAGCTGCCTCGGCCTCCCAAAGTGCTGGGATTACAGGCATGAGCCACCGTGTCTGGCTGGGTGTAAGTTTTTAATGTTGTACGGTTTATCTTTTTATAATTAGCATTTTTTATGTCCTGTTATATCCTCTACTTCAAGGTTATGAAGCTATTTTCCTATATTGTTTCCTAGAAGCTATACTGCTTTACCATTTATATTTAGATCTATGATTTACTTGAGATTGGTTTTTGTGTATGATGAGAAGTAGGGGTCAAGATTTATTTTCTTCTCTCCGAATAACCAATTGACTCAGCATCAGTATTTTGAAAAGACCTTTATTACCCACTGCACTACAGTGCTTCCTTTGCTATAAATCAAGTTCATGCATACAAGGGTCTGTTTCTGGGCTATATATTTATCTATTGGTAAATATATACCCTTGAGCCAAAAGGACGTTGGATTAATTACTGTGGCTTTACAATAAGTCTTCATATCTGATGAAATAAGTCCTCCCACTTCTTTGTGGTTGTTGGTTCTATTCTTACCCTTTGGCATTTCAGTACAAATTTTAGAATGAGCTTGTGATTTCTACAAAACAAATAAATAAATTATTCTGAGATTTATATTGGAATTGCATTTAATCTATAGATCAACATGGAGGTCATTATTGTTTTATAATATTGACCCTCTGATTCATAAATGTGATATATGACTTCATTTATTTAAATAATCTTTATTTTTCAATAATAAATTACAATTTTCTATGTAGAGGATGAACATATTTTTTACATTTATTCTTAGTTATTTGAAATTGTTTGATGCTTTCCATTAAATGTCACTTTCTGTTACTTACATTAAATGTTAAAGTGCTTTTTGTAGAGTGGCCATGTACACAGAAGTCTGGCTAAATTATTAATTCTAAGAATGCATCAAGTACATTATTTTGGATTTTATGCATACACAATCTTATCATGAGCAAATAATTATACTTTCATTTCTTCCCTTCTAAGCCTTCACAGTATTTATTTCTTTTTCTTACCAGATTGTATTGCTTACGACACCCTTTAGAATGTTGAGTAGACATAGAGATAGGAGGCATCTTTGTCACCTTCCTGACCACAGAAGAAAAGCTTTCAACATTTCACCATTAAGTACAACTTTTTCTGTATTTAGATAATTGAAATTATCATTATAAAATCAAAAAAGTTACCTTTTGTCTTAGTTTTCTAACAGTTGGGTTTGTAAAAAAATATGGTGTTCAATTTTGCCTAATTTTTAATATTTTTATTGAAATGATAATTTACATTTTCTCTTATATTCCATTAAAAAGGTAAATTACATTAATTAGTATTTAAACATTGAACCAGACTTACATTAGTATGAGAAACACCACTTGATTGTGATGTTATCTTTTGCGTATTGCTGGATTTTGTTTGCCACTATTGTAGGATTTTATCATGGCCATTCATGAGAGAGATTGGTCTGTGATTTTTATCATTGAATGTTCTTATTAGACGTTGGTATTTAAGTTTTGTAGTTTTGTTTTTTGTTTGTTTGTTTCTTGAGACAGAGTCTCACTCTGTCATCTAGGCTGGAGTGCAGTGGCTCGATCTGAGCTGACTGCCAACTGCAACCTCCACCTCCCAGGTTCAAGTGATACTCGTGCCTCAGCCTCCCAAGTAGCTGGGACTACAGGGGCACACCATCACTCCTTGCTAATTTTTGTATTTTTAGTAGAGACGGGATTTCGCCATGTTTCCCAGGCTGTTTCAAACTCCTGGTCTCAAGTGATCCACCTGCCTCAGCCTCCCAAAGTACTGGAATTACAGGTATGGGCCATTGCGCCCAGTCCAAGTTTTGTAGTTTTCATAAAATAAGTTGGGAACTATTTGCAATATTTCTATTCTATAGTGGATTCTGTGAAATATTGAAGTTATTTCTTCTTTTGTTATTTGTATAACTTAGTTGGGTAAAGCTAATGAAGCCTATTATTTTCTTCATGGGAAAATTTTTCATTATGAATTTTTAGCAGGTGTGGAACAATTCAGATCTTTGATTTATTTTTGTGCTACCAAAATTTTTAAATATTTTGGTGTAAACTTACATGTAATTTCTGCTTATGATGTGTATGTCCATAAATTTAATAATGATATTCCATTTTGTCATTTTTATATTGGTTTTGTTTGTCTTTTTTTCTTAAATTCTTAATTAGTTTTGCTAAGTATTTATCGATTTTATTAGTCTCTTCAAAGAACTAACTTTTGGGTTTGTTGATACTTCTAATTACATATTTATTTTTTATTTAATTAATATCTGCTTTTATCTTTATCAGTTCCTTTTATATGTGTTTGGCTTAATTTGTTGTTCTTTTGTTTCTTTTGAAGTGGATGTTTGGGTCATTATTGTAGCCTTTGTTTTCAACATATACTTTTAAGACTACAAATTATCTTCAAATCTGGGCTTTAACTGCATCCAACAAGTGTTGAAGTACACATTTTTTTAATCGTTTATTATCCCAGTAATCTGGGTGTTTAACAGGGCAGGTAAACACCTGCCCTGTCACAATGTGACAATTCCTCCTTTATGGACCCAGAATTGCAGTCTCTGTTAACCCTGCCTTAAACATAAGATGAGAGCACAACTAAACATTTCAGTCACTCGGCCGCTGGTAATCACACAGAAGGGAAAGAGGGTGCAAACACAGGGCTCAACTCTCAGTTCCTTCCTCCTCTCCTGAATTTTGATCCTACAATGCAATGCCTTGGTAGTTTTCTGATGCCTTAAAACAGAAGCTTTACATATTTTGACCAATATTTCTAAATGCTGTCACCTGGAAGTTTGGTCAGAAACCTTCTAGTCTAAAATTGCCAGAAGCACAACCTATAGTCATTTTGGCTTACTGCTAAAGTAATGTTATCAAGAGTTTGCCCTTATATTGTTTGATGTGATACAAAAGCTAGTAGCTTCGGAAAGTAAAGTGGCCATATGTATACCAAATTATCTTGGTATTATCAAACAATGCACTGTAGTGGAAAAATTTGTAAGATTCATGAAAGTTGATTGTAGAAAGTTTAAATATAGAGCTCAATGTGAGATCTTTAAAAAGTAAACAAATCATTCTGATTATCATCTACAAATGGAGAAAAATACTACCTTCTTCAGTCTTGTTGAGACTATTGGAAGTTTTGTCAAAAAATAACAATTATTTTTGATTCTAGAGACATTAGGCAATCCGTGAAGTTTGCCTAATGATATCTCAATTGGATATATCTCAATATTCTCAATGGATATCATATCCAAACTCATCTATCTCCAGTCTAAGCCATCAAGAGTAAATGATATAAAGCCATAATTGTTCTGCTGAAATTTCTAACTTATTCACTAGTTTACCTTAGAATATGACTAGACAATGTGACAATGATCAGAGTGCGATTGTCTGTATAATACTTCATTCCACTGCCAAGAGAGCTCTGAATTCAAAGAAATAATGAAATAAACTTGGTTCATTTAAACAGTTTGTCTGGAAATTGGAACATTTTTCTAAAATAAAGTCAAGATTATAGACAATAATTAATTACTGTAAAACCTTAAAAGTTATGAAATGAAGTGTAGGCAATTCATAAGCATGTCTCATTAAATATCCTTAAGCAATTTACCTTTTTTATTGTTTTTCCACTATCCGTAATAGTCTGATTAAGCAGTAATTCAACCTAAGTTACTGCTATATAAATGTATTTAACATTTATACATTTTAATGTGCGTGATATATCTTTGTTTAATATATTTCCTTTCATCTGTTTTCCATTTTTAAAAACAGTACTTTCCAAATGGCATTTGTACTCTGTTAGAAAAAAATTCATTTTTGACGCATAACAAGGCATATATGAATCTATATTTTAGACTTTGAAAGCTCTTCTATTAGAGTGCCTATTTACATCCCAAACATCTTTCAAATCAAGTGATTAGACTATTCATTTCAGAATTCCTGAGTGCTGTTTGCTTCATCCTGGAGTTCATTGTTAACTGAATTATTCCTTTCTGTTTATGAAATATTTTAGCAAAATTTCTCCATAGCAACTAAAATGACATGGAAAAGGATTTACAAAAACTCTGCCATTTTCTTCTTTGTGAATGGTTTTACAGTGATTCAAAAAATCAAGGGAATGGTCAGAGTCTTCATATATATATTTGCCAAGGAAGAGCATTCCTAAACCCCTACTTCTAACTTCACTCTCCAAGTCACTGGCATCCTTTTCATCTTAATAGGATCTGAAGTCTGCATTTGGATTTCACAATCCCTGCTGCAGGATTTCAAGCAGCAGAGACATTTTCAATAAGGAGTATAAACAGAATTGCAGCTCAAAGTAGCATTTGGAACATAAACTAAGTCTCTTATTCTTAGCTAGCTTAACAAATTACACTTTACTTGGGCTTGTGCTTTTGTTCCAATTACTTTTGGAACCATTTCATTAGATGTGTTTGATTGTAATATTCCGAGGCTGCTGAGATATGAGATCAGTATATGAAGATAAAGCATGCATTCTAGCTGTTCCTGATTTCAGCAAACATGCCACTACCCCAGATTCTTCTCGGGCTTTTCTATAAAATTGAGCATAATTGTGTGTTCTTTTGTGTCCTGTGTGATAGAGATAAATAAATAGAAAAGAAAAGTACTTCAATTACTTTTAAATCAGAAATTTTATCTCTAGATATGAGCATATTGCTAATAGGTCTACGTTAATGCCTTTGTTATCCTGCATTCACTTGCTATCTATAAAGTTCATTTTTAAAATCATTTTTCTACACCTAAATAGTTAGGGAGCTCTCATGTGGGGTATCTTCTGCCCCCTGAACGCTGGCATACACTACCTTGGGCCTGAGGCTGGGACTCTCATCTCCTATTCACTTTACCTGGCTAACTTGAATGCATCTATCATGTATCAACCTGAACATTGTTTCCTGAAATATCTCTCACCAAAGTAACCAGAGCATCCTGACCTCCTTCTTTCCTGTACTTTGCACCCTTCTAATTACTTATTTATTAATAATTATGTGTTTCATATATGCACTTCTACCATGTCTATTTTTCCTCTAGTTACCGTCCCCAAATCTGCCATAAGCCTACAGAGGGGTGATCAGTAACAGTTGAGACTTCAGTGGTAGCAACAGAAGGGCTTGGAGTGGTTTTAACTCTTCTCCCAAAAATGTCATGGGTAACCTCCCCAGCCATAGCAGACACAAATAATTCATAGATTAAAATCTCATGGGAAGGATGAATCTGTGAATCGTTGAAAAACATTTAGATGTTTATTGACATATTACCTACAGTGTATGTAAAAACTCTTTGCTACCCTATGAATACAGCTTCAAGACAAATCTTCCTCCTTCCCCTGCTTCTGACCGTCACGTTTTACCCTGAGAACCCTTGCAAAGTGGTTCCTGTTACAGAACTCAGCCATTTTTATTCCTTGTCTATTTGCAACTTTTAATCCCTGCCTTCTATTCTGCTCCCATTATATTTAGGTGAAACTGATGGTTTCTTATGTCCTTTCCATGACTTCAAAAACTGTATCTTACAGTACCTTTCAAACAGGATGTGCTATTCAGGGTGTAGATGACTACAATATCTCTGGAAAGTAGATTGGTGGTCTTAAAATTCTCATTCCCTTTGATTTAATATTCTCAGATTTTCAAATTCTTCCAAAGAAATCATCAGATGTGTACACATATTTAATCTACAGTATTATTCATTGCAGCGATATTTCTAACAGCAAAAATTGGGAACAAAAAATGCCCAAAATAGAGGAATAATAACATTCACGGAAATGCTATGTGAATCTTTTTTGCTCACAACCATTATTTAGGATGATTATATATAGGAAATGTTTATAATGTCATGTAGGTAAAAAATCCCGTTTCAAATGTGTATACACAGTATGATATTGACTATTTAAAATGAGTCTTTATTGAAAAGACTGGAAAATTTTCTAATATACTAACTAGCAAGCAGAGCATCTGCATTTGTCAGATCCCTCTGCCCCCAGCATCTCCTCCTTATAGAGTTCGTGTGATAAAGAAGATTCCCTCTGCTCTGATCTCCAGGCTGACACAGTTGTGGTATCTTTAGTGAGTAGTTTTCTGTAAGGTGAGGCTGGTAGTTTACTTCTTCCTTCCATTCCCAACCTGTCTTCTTGTTGCATCTGCTGTCTCAGTTCATTTCCATCTTCATAGCCTTTCATCTCTGCTCAGATACTTCTTCCGCATTTATTTTATAATATCTCAGGATTCTTAGACATGGTACAATAAATTTTACATTTCTAAACTTTTAAACCTTTTATTAACTTACTGAAAACTGCAGATCTGTATCAGCCTTTTCTATGGCTTTGCATAGCAGCTTCTCATGGCTGTTATAATAAATTACTACAAATGTAGATGCCTTAAAAGAACCCCAATAAATTATCTTACAGTTCTTGATGTCAGAAGTCTAAAATCAGTCTTGCTGGACTGAATCATTTTCACAAATTGTCAGCATGGCTGCATTCCTTCTGCTGGTCCAAGGCTGAATCCACTGCCTGGCTTTTCCAGCTTCTAGAGGCCGCCCACACTCCTTGGCTTGTAGCTGGGCTGCATCACTCCAAACTCTGCTTCCCCGGACGCGTTGCCCTCCCTCTGACACTCCTGCCTCCCTCTTTCCCTTACAAGGACACTTGTGATTACACTGGCCCCAGGACAGTTTGTCCATCTTAATCAAGATAATCAACTCAATCCCATCCACCAAATCCCAGGTAAGGTGCAGGGATTAGGACCTCACCATTAGTTTGCCTACCACAGTGTTTCAAACAGTTGACCATACTTAAATGCATTAAAGAAATTATGTGCTTAAATTCAAAGAGTAAAATAATCACTTAGAATCTAATCCAATTACCATAAAAAGTCATGATCACAGGTCACATGCCAGTGTAAACCCCTCTGGACATATAATCATTCTTGATAAGGACACATGAAATAGATCTAGCTGAATCTAGAAGGAACAATCTCAAATGGAGTATCTGTATTTACCTCTAGGTTATTTTTCCTGCTTCTTTTTACTATACTTGCCAAATTTTCCACCGAGTGCATATTGCTACTTCTTTTCAGAATGATGGTTATAGCAAATTCCAAGTAAGAAAGAAAAAAGCAGTAAAGTAAAAACCATACTTTCCCTCAATAATGAGTTAGAGACCACCAACATACCAATCTTTCAGGATAAACTCAAATGTGATCTCCTCCAGGAAGCCTTCATAAGACCCTGACCACCACCTCTCACCTCCCCCGTCCATAGAGTTGAAATTTAACAGCTCTTTCCCCATATATCCCCCAGCATTTGGTCTATAGTTTTAAAGCACAAAGAGGGTTCAGCATACGTTCAGATCCATAGATGCAGTTGAGTCTTTCTATTGGATTGTGAAGCCCAGACAGAGAGAGAACACAGTATATTCATTTCTAAGGCCATTCCACTGCCACCCTCATTTTGAGTCTGCCGCAGTGTTCTCACAGATTATCATTAAGTTGCAGATTATGAGGGTATAATAGATAATGTTAATATGGCTTATCATCAGATATATATTTTTATGATAAAATCACAAAGTCTATAAATGAGCTAATGTCCATGAAATGCAAAAAACCTGGGGTGATTATGCCTACACTGACATTTTTCTACTTAATGGTTTGTTTACTTGTCTTTATTAGGGGACCTTAATTCATTAAAAGGGTACTTGTTTTTTCATTCACAAATAGCCTTGGGACAAAGTAGTAAACCAAAGCAATTTATCACCTTTCCAGGCTAAGCAAACGTTGCATATGGCACTGTGAAGAAAACACTAATTAGATTTAACTGAGGGAAATTAACACAAAATCCAAATATCAAGTATTTTAAAAGAAACTGAATCTTATGGTTTTAAATACAGAATATGGATTCTCCAGCTAACTCTTAATAACCTGCACCAAGTGGCAGTCCTACTGGGCCTGTTTAACAAATAAGGAAGATTACGCTCTACTGAGCATATTATTTGTTTGTGCTCAAATTAATGCTGTTAAAATATGTAATGTTCTCCAAGTTTCTGGCTTCCAGAGTTTTGCTTGTGAAAAGACTTTCTGTTCTCCATTCCAGCCTGTGCTCCCTCACCAGGTAGACTTCTCCCAGTGACATCCCAGGTTGTCCATTATGGTCCCTGCCTACCTCTCAGTAGGTGGGGATTTGGAGCCAGATAGAACTGGAGCTCTTGACAATCTCATCTTCAGCCATTCTAAACTCATGTGACCCCAGCCTCCCAGCAGGCTGCTTTTGCCATGATATGATCTCCCTCCCTTCCAATAGTGATAGATATCTCTTATCTATGTTCCCAGAATACTTTAGATGGGTTATCTTATTTAATCCACACATGGATCCTGGCAAATACGTGTAGTTGTCTCTTTGGCAGAAGTGGAAACTGAAACTCTGTGAAGTTCATGACTTAAAAAAGGTCACATAGTAGGTGACAGAACCAGGATACAACTCCAGTTCCATCTGGCTCCAAATCCCCATATCAACTTCTGAGCAGTTCCTGTATCCCCAAAAGTCATCAGCTCCTCTGGTACCCAGCTAAAAAATATTTTTCACCTGGGCACAGTGGCTCATGCCTATAAATCTCAACACTTTAGGATGCTGAGACATGAGGATCACTTGAGGCCAGGAGTTTGAGACATACCTGGGCAACCTAGAGAGACCCCCAACTCTACAAAAAATTAAAACAATACAAAATTAGCTGGGTGCAGTGGTATATACCTGCAGCCCTAGCTACTCAGGAGGCTGAGGTGGGAGGATCCCTTGAGTCCAGGAGTTAAGGGCTGCAATGAGCTAGGATCATGCACTCTGGCCTAACAAAGCAAGACCCTGTATTTAAAAAAAAAAAAAATTGTCCCCACTTAAGCTTTTTCAGAACTTTCCCAGGCAAAGTTAGTTATTCTCTCCTCTGTTCTTTTTAAATAACTATAAAGACCTTCTGCTCTTCTCTGCTCTGGAGCACATGTGAACAGAAGTAAGCCTAACAAAGACCATGCTCTACAAGGGTGATGCTCATAGCCTGCTCTCCTCACATTGAGGGCAATGGTCAAGTCGATGTGGCTGACGAAGATCTCCACTTTAATAACTGTAAGGGTTCTTTAACCTGGGGACCTACAAAAATAAAAGTTGCCCATTCTGGCTTAGAAATCAATATATGTTATTAACTGTTAATGGAAAGAGTACGTTCTACCATAAAAAACATTAAGGAGACTGAGGCAGGTGGATCACCTGAGGTCAGGAGATCAAGACCACCCTGACCAATATGGAGAAACCCCGTGTCTACTAAAAATACAAAAATTAGCCAGGCATGGTGGCGTACACCTGTAGTCTCAGCTACTTGAGAGGCTGAGACAGGAGAATTGCTTGAACCTGGGAGGTGGAGGTTGCAGTGAACCAAGATCATGCCACTGCACTCCAGCCTGGGCGACAGAGCAAGACTCTGTCTCAAAAAAAAAAAAAAAAAAGAGAACATGATTGACTTAAGATTAATTATATATCAGAAGCTATAAAAAATATCTCCTAGGTTAGGTGGTAACAGTTTTTCCTTAGGAAGAGACTAGGGACATACATACGTGTCTGATAGTCACAATAATGATGAAGATAATGAGCTCAGCTGTGTTCTCCATGCTATGAGTTCTATAAGTAGTAACACCTTTAATGATCACATCTCTGCCCCTGTCTGGGACTGATCTGGATCACTATCAAATGGAGTACAGTGAGCCAGGACTCATCTTTGCAGGAAGAATAGCATCCTGATGGGGGCAACCCTGAACTCCTAAAGCTCATTTGTCAGAGCCACAGGCACGATGACGTTTACCTCATAAAACCACCACACAACCTCCATGGCTGCTTGAAGTCAGGAGTATTGCTTACAACTATTTCACTTCCAATTTTGTGAGCTATAACAGAAATAAAGTTAGTATCTCTCTATTCCCAGACTATGGGCTTCTCAAGGACGAGGTCAGATTCTTGTTTCCCTTTGAGTCTCCAGTGTCTGAGATGCAGTAAAAGCTGAATGATGTTTCTGAATCGGCAAATGAATGAATGAATGAATGAGTGGAATTACTCAGGAAAGTGGGGAAGAGATTTATGCCCATGTGTGGGTCAGGCCATCTGTTTACTCAGTGAGACAAAACTTCCAGTGTGTTTTATTTCCTGGAACTTTGAGAAGGTGGGTAGGAGATTGTACCAAATCATACATGAAGTTCTTGTTAGACCATTTGAAGCTTCATCTGTTCAAAAATTTATTCCTACACATTTTTATCAAATAAAGATGAACTTAATAAATCCCTTTTAAAAACACAGTCATGTTATGCTGGTGCGGTGGTGGCTCACACCTGTAATTTCAGCACTTTGGGAGGCCGAGTTGGGTAGATCACTTGAGGTCAACAGACAAGCCTAGCCAACATGGTGAAATTCCATCTCTACTAAAAATGCAAAACTTAGCCAGGTAGGTGGCGTGCACCTGTAATCCCAGCTACTAGGGAGGCTGAGGCTGGAGAATTGCCTGAACCTGGGAGGTGGAGGTTGCAGTGAGCTGAGATCACGCCACTGCACTCCAGCCTGGGTGACAGAGCAAGACTCTGTCTCAAAAATAAAATAAAATAAAATAAAATAAAATAAAATAAAATACAGTCATGCACCACATAATGATATTTCAGTCAACTATGGACTACATACATATAAGATGGTGGTCCCATAAGATTATAATGGAGCTGAAAATTTCCTTTTCTATATTTAGATATGTTTACATCCACAAATACTTACCATTGTATTGTAATTGCCTACAGTATTCTGTGAAATGACATGCTGTACAGGTTTGTAGCCTAGGAGCAATAAGCCTTACGAGGGAGCCCAGGGGTGTAGTAGGCTATACCACATAGTAGGTTTATGTGAGTAAACTCCATGATGTTCACAGAACAACAATGTCACCTAAGGATACATTTTGCAGAATGTACCCCCATCATTGAGTGATGCATGACTACATAAGTGTCCCTCAAAGAGAGATTACATAATCAAATACTAAAATAAATTAGGGGGCCTATGGGACTCCAGGATGCCAGGATGGTGTCTGGATCAGGTGGGGAGATGTCCCAGCCGAAGTGGGGGTAAGCCAGGCACAGAATTACTTAAAAAGCCCTGAAAGTACATGAGGGTGACTAGAAGGGAGGAATAGACATTGGAGATTAGAAATAGAGGCAGAACTGCAAATGAAATGAAGCAAAAACACAAGAAACCTGTTGTCGTTCTACTTGGGGCCACACATGAACTAGGAGTGGCTGTGGCCAAGATTGGTGGGTGCAGCTTCACACCCAGTTAACCACCCTGCACCACCTGCCTCACCAGGCTAGTACAGTCTCTGCGCTTCCTCCGCTCCTTCCTGGGTAAGCCTCCTCCAAGTTTAAGCCTGCCCAGCCTGGGCTGGGAGAACAGGGAAAGGGAAGAGGAGTAAGAAAAAGAAAGAAACATGTTGAGTGCTGCATCGCTCCTTCTCTCGTATTATTCCTCGTGTCTCAGCAAGAACTCAGACAACCCTTGAGCTCTAGAGCCTTGGTTAAGGAAGCATGAGAGGGAAAACCCACATGCATGTGAGCATATGTATTTATGTGCGTGTATGCACGCTTGAGTGTATAACTATGATATTGCAATTGACTCTAATCTTTCACTCTGCTACATAACATTTCCATGCATATTTAAATTCAATTAAAACGTTCTAAATTGCTGAACATCAAACCAAAGTGTCCCAGGAAGAACATGTGCTTTGTTTATCCTGTGATTTCTTTTACACCAAACAATTTTTGCAACATTCAGTTTAAGGAGTCTAACAGTATGTTCTATTTTGGCATTTTCTTATTTCAATTTCAATGAGAAGAACCGTACATTCCTATCAAGAGGGCAAGATACACTTGATATTTTATTCCCTAGTTAATTCAAACGTCTCTTCCTTTCAATCTTGTCCCCAGTATTAATGTATTCATTAAAATTGCTTCCAGTGTTAGAAAAGGAAACTTGAGTCCAACCAAGCCACATGTTGACAGATCCCACACTTGGCTCTGGGCAAGGCTTCATTGCAAAGGGCAGAGGGGCTGCATCTTGGCAGGAGTGGGCATCAGTGCCACGTGGCTGGATTCCCACACCACAGTCAGGAGCACAGGGAGCTCCTCTGCTCCACTGTCTATGGGGTCCTTCTGCCAAGGAAACACCTAAAGAAGCAGATACATAGCAGCAGTAATCCCTGTATTTCAAGAATAGTGATAACGAAAATGCCTGTAATTGGAAAGTCTGATTGAGCCTTTATGGAAAAAACAAAGTGTTGGACAACTGAAATCTCAAGTCCACCTGTAAAACCCCTTATGTAAACTTTTACATTAAAATAAAGTTAAAGACAACACAGTAAATGTATAGTTTCTACTTGATGTGTTTTGTATTACTCAGATAAACAATACTAGGCCCTCCACAATTAATTTCCACTTGAAACTTTAAGGTCCTTAGTCCCCCATGCTTTCAAAGCAATTCCTGTCAGGTTTTGGTTTGAAAATTCAGGTAAGAGGCATTCTTTTCTCACTAGGAGGCATTTTTTTCCTGGGTCTCTTTCTCCATCCGGAATGTTCCAAGGAAGAGAACAAAGGGAGAATGAGGTGTGAGGTGAGTGGAGGTTTGATGGTCTGGCTTCCCCACCAAATGCATCACTCCCATATGTGTTGTGAATCTCCAAAAATGGGGAATATTCTGTGCTGAAAACCAGATCTTGGGAACTTTCTACAATATTTCTTATTCGCAACATATCTGTCAAAACAGGCAGACCCCTGCCCAGCACCTCCAAAGAAAGGATCACAATTGTGTGGTCAAACAAGTCTGGATCCAAGTCCTGATATAATGGGACTCACCTTCTCCTGAACATATGTCCCTTCACCTGTGAAAATAGAAGCACTTACATTTTCCTCCAAGTTCTATGGTGAGCACAAACTGGAGGGCAGAAATGATGACTCCAGCTTAGCATCTGCTCTATCAGGTGCTGAGCAAATGCTGCTTGATTTCCTCATAAACTCCAAGATATGTAACATCATAAGTACCACAAGCACAGAAAACAATCAGAGGATTGGGTATTCCTCAAGCAGAACAAGAGAAGCACCCTTGGGTAACCACAAAACACCTGGAAAAAGCAAAAATATGTATGAAGGTGTAGAATATGTATGTGAGTATTTGAGGAGGCACGGGAAATTGCCAGGAGAATGAATCAGGGAAGGCTTAGAATATTTTGATAGCCTTTTTGTAGACCTACATGTAGATATCAACCAGAATAGAGTTTGGTTAGTTATCTGAGGTCAAAAGCAAAGCTTCCAGGTCAGAATGAATGGTGATGATGTGAGTGCCTAGTCTTCTGGAGAATAGCGTGGCTCTTGTTCATTTCATAAAATGCATTGAGATACTCTCAGCTACTTCATGTATCTGCCTTATGTTCTTTCAGAATGAAGCAGCAGACATCTGAATGGGGAAATGGATGATTGGATGGATAGGCTAGGCTAGCAAATAAATACCATTTATCTGCCATTGTTAAGCTACTGACCCAGGAAAGTCGATTTAGAATATCAATGCAGTTCTAAATTGGCTTAGAAAATTTGAGAAGTGGTACCACCAAATAAATGCTATGTACAAACAGTATGTGTTTACCTAGGCTTCCTCAAAGACAGCCTAAATGAAGATCCAAGATTCAGCAGGCAGCATGTGAAAACTTTATAAACTTGGCCTTCACCTGTGGAATATCTGTGGCCCCTGCTCCTGCTCACCACTAAAACACTCCAGAACCGGACCAACAATTCCTTGCGGTAGAGACCATCCCCACTCATGCCTTGCCCCAGATCCAGCAAGAGCAATCAGTCAGGCTTAGCAATGCCATCATATTGGATACATTGCCACATTTTCTGACATGGCAACACTTTGCCACAATGAGGCCTCCACAGGGTGCTGCCTTGATTATAAAACCTAGTTTGAGATGATAGCATAACAAACATGTAAGCCTGGACTTATAGGAATGTGATATAGGCAAGCTTGTTGAGAGTGGTTTCAACAGTGCTCAAAGGTCCATTTCGTTTTCATGTACCCTCTTCTCGTGCTCTGAACTTCATAATTCCACCTTCAGATATTCCTCTCTATACCTGAGGACTTTGGTCTCTGTAAAATTATAAATATTCCAGGGAAGTACTTTAAGGCATCAGTCATTTGAACTCAGTGCAAATTGTTTATGAGCAAGATACAGAGAGAAAAGGTGAGTTCATAGTCCAGTCTAGGCCCTGCTGGAAAGTCAGGGAAATAGGTATAAACAGATGTTAGGGAGCCAAAAAACAAGCCCCTGCCACTTCCTGACTTTTATAGGCTCAGTCCTGTTCACAATCTTGTTCAATTCCATTCAATTTTGCAAGGGAATCTGCTGAACTGTGTACTGGATGCCCAGGTGTACCTATATCTAAAGGAACTTAAGTGTGCTGGGTGTAGTAGGCATGTCTAAAACTGACTTATGTAGCAGAGTTATGAGCAACGTAGGAAAAGAATGGCCAGTTCTGACTGGGACAGTTCAGAAAAGGATCAGTGAAGGTGAGGGCAAAGAAACTAATCTTTCATTTTCCGTTTCTCACTGTGTGGTTTTCAGAACACGGCCCTTGGAGGAAGGCCATGCAAAAGGAAGAAACAGGCAGAACAGGAAGTCATGCATTCCTATCTGAGAACTATTGTAAGCAAAGGCCAAGAGAGTGAAGAAGAAAGAGCATGTTCGGTAAATATGATCCAAACTCATGTGGCATCCCAAGTGTCACCCAACAGTGGAAAGGATAAAGGCTGATCTATCTACACAGAGGATAATTAAAAGGTAAAACTACTGATATACTCCAAACGTGGGTGAATTCCAAAGAAATTACACTGAGTGAAAGAAGCCAATCTGAAAAGTTTACATACTTCATGATTCCATTTATATGACATTCCAAAAATGACAAAACCATAGGGATAGAGTGCAGATTAATGCTGACAGGGAGTGGGGTAGGGGGAGGGTCTGAATGCAAAGTATTGAGGGGAATTTGTTTGGGTGATAAAAATTGTAATTATGTTTATACACATCTCCACATATGTTAGAACCCTTATAACTGCACTAACACAAAAATTAAATATTATGGAATACATTTTTTAAAACAAAAATTTATTTTTTAAACAAATAAATTCAAACTCCTCTCAAAAGTGGCAAGGTCAAAGGATAAGAGAGTGACTATAATAATAAGTGATTCCATGTAAATGAAAAAATCACTTATGGCCAGATTATGAGGGAAGTTGAACAGCAGTGGCCTGGGAACTGCAGAGAAAGGCCGGGGATTCTGGGCATATCCCATTTGCTCTACATCAATGTCCTGCACTACGCAGATCAAGAAGACTGGACTTGGAGAAACTAATTTCTTTCCAATGAACATGAAGTTATTAAGTGGCATACCAGAATTATAACTCACGTCTCTGTCTCTCCTAATTCTGAGCTGTTGTACTAAAACACAGAAAACAGGGGAGTACCATCTCTATGACATCACTGGTAGAACACTGACGGTACATAAATGGCTTAGGGTATGTTGTTTGCTGTTCTTTGGTTGTTTTGTTTTAATTGTCATACTTGGAGAAAAACCAGAACTTACAGTAAAACTATTGATTTTATATATATATATATATTTTATATATATATAATATATATATTATATATAATATATATATAATATATATATATAATATATATATAATATATATATTATATAATATATATATAATATATATATATACACACACACATACATATATGTGTGTGTATTTCTAAGTATATATATATGTGTGTGTGTGTGTATTTCTAAATATATATATGTGTGTGTTTTTAGAAGAGTATTTCAAAAATGAGCTGGTAGCCAAATTATTCCAAGCAGAATTATTATTCCAAGCAGAATTCAGTTCCAGAGGATTTCAACACAACTAGTAAATTAAGACAGTGCTTTCATATGGAAGAATGAGGGTATCAGAGCTACCACAGTTCAAGAGCAGAGAAAGAGATGATGGAAAGTTGTGTAGAAAATGGATGAAAAAGATGATGGAAAGTAGTGTAGAAAATTCCCTGTGACTTTCCAGTTTTCATCAAATAGATGTGACAGTACTGGTTACAGGTGAGTCAGAAAAATAGATATTTTCTTGGTAATGTAGAAACAATCTTACTGCCCAAGACTAAAGTGGGTTCAAAATTTCTGACATCTTTTAAATCATTCTCTGGAGGGAAAAATCAGTATAAACCTTGAAGGAAAAAAAATGATTATCTGACTTTACCTAGAATAATTACACAAAAAGTCAAATTTAGTTGTTGGCCACTTCTGAAATCTGAAGATTAAAGGCACTAAAAGAACAGCTTGCTGTCTCCCCCAGAACAGTTAAATCTTTCTATTCACCACAGCACAAGCCTATATTTTCAGATCCAAGCATATATCTTCCTGGGTCTTAATTCAAAATAGCATATGGCAGGTGGCCCTGACGGTGGTGGTAAACCAGCCCCTTTCAAAGCCTGAATACTCCGACAAGCATTTCTCATGGCAGTGGGGTGATTTAATGAATTTTTATGTACTCTTTTCATTATCTGAAATCTGTTACATTTATCTGAATCTTTTTTCCTTTTTCTCTTCCACAGTCTTGAGTTTTTAAGGCTTGGCCAATAAAATTAAGACAGTGCCCTCCTGCTATTCCAAAATGAATTTGTGTTCCTCTCTGTGCATTTCTCCATAATTACGGAGACACTCTGTTGGGGACATAATGTGTGTGTGTTTACACATGAAAGTTCAAGGAAGAGAGTAGAATGAAAATACTACACCTCAGCCTGTCTCAGTCATAAAATCCTTTCTTGAGTGGTGACTATTCACCTTCATAGGCATTCTTATCTACCTATTGTAGTTTACTAGTATCTTACAATGTTGTTCCTTTTTTAACAGCTTTATTTAGGAATAATTTACATAGCATAAAATCCGTTTAAGTGTTCTACATTGGGGTTTTTAAGATTATATTTCTATTGCTGCCATAACAAATCACTGTAAACTTAGCAACCAACACAAATTTATTCTCAACAGTTTCTATAGTTAGAAGCCTGTCTGGGTGCAGCTAGGTCCTCAGCTCAGGGTCTCAAGGCTGAAATATAACTGTCAACAGCGGTGCATTCTCTACTAGCAGCCCTGGGCAATAATCCATTTAAAATATTTTGCAGGTGGTTGGCCACATTGAGTAGCTTCTGGTTGTGGGACCAAAGTCCCCGTGTCCTTGCTCACTGAGAGCCAGGGCTGGTCTCCACTCTCAGAGGCTGCCTGCTTTCCTTCTCACGTTCTGCATGTGGCTCCTTCTGGCAATGGTGCATTGAGTTCTCTCACAGTTCACATCTTTCCAATTGCTTCTTTTGCCTCCTCCATCTGACTCCAGCCAGAGAAAGTTCCTGGCTTTTTAAGAGTTCATGTCATTAGAACAGTCCCATATGGATAACCCAGGATCCTCTTCCCATTCTAAGGCCCGTACCTTCATTACTTCCACAAAGTTTATTTCGCTACGTAACACACATTCACAGCTTCCAGAGATTTGGGCATGGACATCTTTGAGATGGCATCCAGCCCACTTTTATTTTTATTTCTCCATGAATCAGATCCTCCAAAGATCTGATTAATGGGGCAGCTTATAGCTTTCATGAAACGTCATAGCGTGTGGACTGGCCCAGTACTGGAGTTTTCTTTTTCTTTTTCTTTTCTTTTCTTCTTTGTGTGTGTGTGTGTGTGTGTGTGCGTGTGTGTGTGTGTGTATAATTTGATTCAAGGTATACTGACTTCTTCAGGGCAAAGGGGTAAGAATCTGACATATTTTTGTTCCTCTCTATGCCAAGCACTTTCAAATCAATATTCTAATATCAAATCAATATTCTCACTTTATCCTGGTACCATTATTGTCCCTACAATACAAACAAAAGAGATGAGAATGAGTGAGGGTAAGTGATTTGCTCCAGGTCACACTCGGTAGAAGAGCTAGGATTTGAACTTGGATCTTCTCTAAAATCCAAATTCTGTCCAGATGAGGTAAAATATGGACAAAATTTTGTCACCATTTCCTAAGCGTCTCAGCTTCGCCACTGAAAAGATTTTGTCCTAGAGACACAAATCCTTTGATTCAGTCAGCACGTGTTTATGGAGCTCTTGTTTGCGTCAGCTACTCTTTTAGGACACTGAGGATTCAGCAGTGAAAACAAAAACAAAACAGGCAACACGTCTGGCTTTTGTGGAGCTCACATGCAAATGCTGAGACAGACGACAGCCTAACACATAAATTAGTTATATGGTGTCCTTAAAAAGCAATAAATGCCACTGAGAAAAATGAAGCAGGATATGGGGCGGGGGCAGAATTGGGATGGGGTTAGATGAAACTGGTAGGACTGAGAATTTTAAATGAGAGAGTCAACATAGGCTTCACTATGAAGGGGATGCTTGAGCAAAGAATTAAAAGGGAGAGGGCACACACATAAGCAAAATGTACATAGGGACAGAATAGACTGCTACATAGAAGCCGGAAACACGGTAGTGTCATTAAATCAACTCTCATTCTTTCCCCAGGCTTAAAGCGATTTGTGCTCTAAGGTCAAGATGATCTGTGGCCTCCTGATCATAAGAACAAACATTTATCGAGTAGGTAGAACATGCCCAGGCTAAGTACTTTATATGCCTCATAACAACTGTAAAAGAAGCATCTGTCATTGTCCCTGTTTTTACAGAGGTGTTATAGTGTTTATCCAATGTCTCCAGGTCTCTGGGTGGCCCACACCCCATCATAGGCTTGGTTCCCTGTTTTGTTTGAGGAGGGACAGTAAAAAGGCCAGTGATGTCCTTCAGACACTGTACAGAATGCCCTGGTCTCCACTGCACGTCTCCATTCACGCAAAAAATCCCCCAAACAGGGAAACATAAAATTGCAGATTAAATCCTAAATGCACTCACAAACTAGAATTGACATGCAAGAAATTTACTTTTTATATTGTGCTTTTATGAAGGGAAAGGGCTTGTGTACAGGAGGGAATCTTTTCAAAATTTTATACAAATCGGGACAGCTAAGTGCAAGGCAAAGGACAGGCAAAGGGCACCGTGAGGTTACAAAATCATAAGTTCTCCCAGGCAGCTTTAGCAGCCTGGTGATGGTCTCAGACCTCACCAGTTCGTGTTTTGTTTTCACTGCTTCAGGAAATATATCCCCTAACTTATTTGTCAAAACAAAGCAGATCCCATCAGATAGGGCAAAGCTAGTAAATAGTTCACAAGTTCATCTTACCTACTAACTCACATGAGAGTTTCTAAATTGCAATAGTCCTTTTTGGAAAGGCAAACAAAAGGGAAAGCAGAGGGGAAAAAAAGAATAAAATGAGAGAAGAAAGAGTAAAAGAGAAGAACAAAAGATCAAAAGAATCAATTTCCATTATGACTTTCCCCTTGCAACTTAACTTTGCCCAAAGCCAAGAAAGAAATGCCTATTTCTTAGCTCAGATCTGTTGAGATTATAGTGTTTATTTCTTTGAATGCCAAGTCTCATATTTTTATATTACTTTTTATCAATGATCCAGTGAAGGCAGCTTCCTAGACTTGTTTCTGTCCTTATTTCTCTCTTCTTTTAATAACTCAGAAATCCAACATTCTCTGCCCAAATCCATTGGTTTTTATTTAAAAAATGAAACATTTCTTGGATAAAACTTGAAATGGCATAACCTGCTCAACTTAAGTTGATTTCATTCTTATATCTTGCAAGCAGTGGCAGAAATCTCAAAGTTTGGTTTGGATGCTTTTATAAAAAATTTTTGGAAAACCTCCCTAAAAAAAGATTATGGCTTTAAAAGAACACATTCACAATAATTCTTTGACCGTCTTTTAAAGGTTGAAAACTCAAGTTCTAGCTTGAAGAGCAAATCATGATTTGAATGGATGAGATTTCGGGTTTCTTCAGGCTGAACATGCTCAGAATTGAGAGGCAGCAAGACAGGTTCTGGGGCAAGTTACATAACTGTAGAGCCAAAGGTTAACAAGAGGAGAAAATTATTCACCAGGTCTGTATGTAAATAGGCATTTTGAGCATTTCCACTGAGTAGGGACCCAGTACTCTTACTCCTTCCTCGGTTAACACATTTGGATGCTGCAAGTTGACAATGAGTAACACTACTTTCCTCATGTAATTAAAAAAATCACATTTATTTAGGTGTAACATTCGAACAGAAAAGTGCAGAAATCTTAAGTGCACAGACTGATGAATTATGACGAAGTGAACTCACCTTGTAACGAGTGCCCAAGTCAAGAAATAGCTGTGTGTCTTTTTGCACTAATAATTTTGTGTGTGAGCTAATAAGTTGCCAATTTATATGTCATTTATTTATTTATTTATGTGCTTATTTATTTTTACAGAAAGGGTCAGACTCTTGCCCAGGCTGTCCTCACACTCCTAGGCTCAAGCAGTCCTCTCAGCTCAGCATCCCGAGTAGCAAGGACTATTGGTGCAGGCCACCGAACCCTGCTAGGTTGCCAATTTAAACATAATTTAAAGCCTGCCTGATGGGCTGAGATGCTCCTGACCAAGGCCAGTGTGCAGGAAAGCACAAGGTCCCTGGGGGAAAGGAAGAAACTGCCTGATGTTCCCAGCAGGGTGTCAAGGTGGGCCCTCTGTGAGAGGATAACAATATCCCCTCATTCCAGTGCCCCAGGGATAGTTCACCCCACTCTCTCCACTCCAGTTACCTGGGAGGATTTTGAAGTACCCAACATCTTGGGCTCAGTTATTTTGCCGTGAAGTCCCCTAATTAAACTTAACACAGACACACACTAGCTCTTTCCACCAGCTAGGAAATAAACCAGGCTTTCAGCATCACAAACATTAGCATAATCCAGCTTTTCATACTGACTACAGGTTGGAGAGATGGAATATATAAAGGCAGCTTGCAGTTACATAAGCCATCTGCTCCTTAGTTGAAACTAATTAAAATCTTGATAAGCAATATTGTTTGCAAATCTGAAGTTTAAAAAAAAACTATAAAATATTAAATTAAGTCAAAAATCAAACATACCACAACATATCACATAATTATTTTAAATTTTTAAATATTGATTTAAATGTCAAAAAGCCACCCCGGTTAGATTTACCAAGAGGTTTTTTGATCATTGCTTGATTAGTATCACGTGTTTTTTAGAAATTACACAAAGTACAGGAAACATTTTACGTTTTTTACAATATCTCTAATGAACCACCTTAACAGCTCTTAAAAGGGAAATGGAAACAAGTGATCCACAAAATAAGGAAAATTATAACACAAATTTAAAGTGCCCAGGAATGCCATGGATAAATAAAAAGATATCCTAGTTTTTGTGTGAAAATACAGTTTCACAGGAGAGACCTCTACAGAGAAGTTAACCTATTTGTGTAAAGAATTACACTATTTTTCAAATATCCATAAGAAAGAATACAGGATCTCATAAATAGCTATTGATTTCCCATGAAAGAAAAGAGAAGAGTCAGTGATAAGACACGATCAAGAGCTTCTGCTCTGGCCTTGTTTTTATGACCTTGTCTGCTTAGGTTTCGGATGGAGGCTGGGTTGTCCATGTACCCACAGGCCTGAGCAAAAAGCAACTGAGCTGTGGGAGAGTCCCATGAAATCTGAATGTCTTGTGCCCTCAGCCTGAGCTCGCTCCTCCTGTGTAGCGGATTGCAGCCAGAGCCAGAGTGCCCCGTGTCAAATCTCTCCCATGCCACTGACCTCTGTGTGGTCTTGGGCAAGTGGCTTAACCTCTCTGAGCTTTAGTTCCTTCTCTGTGCAACAGGTATATTGAAAGACCCCCACTTCCTAGTGTTGCAGTGAGGATTAAATGAGATGACATATGTCTACAAGAGCAGCTGTCACTTAGTAAGTGCTCAGTAGAAAAAAAAGCTTTTATTGTTATTTTGGTTGGCAACAATTGCCGATGTTGCAAAATAAAGTTCAAACCCTGTCATTCCTCACAAGAACTACTGAGCTTGGGAAAGAATGGAATGCACTTAAAGCTGACAAACACCAGCCTCGAGCAAAGAATATGAGATGAAGTGGCGGAAAGTCTGATTATGATCAGGGTCTTATGTCACAAGTTTGCGGGGGCTCCATCCAAGGCGGGAACAAAGAAAGCAGGCCTGGACCTAGGAGCCATCCGTGCCATGGCTGGCCGTTGGCCTGGCTGTCTCTGAGCATAGGCCTCTGTGCACCCATTGAATCAGTAAGCCATCCCACGTTCTCACATTCTGTGACCTGCAGTTGGGTATGGGAAGGATGTGAGACCCCATCAGGGAACCCCATTGCAAATATAAGGATTCACTGAGTCAGGAGACAGAAGAAAGGATGCAAGAGAGCTGTGGCCTGACACTGTTCCCACCATGAGCCATGCAGATTATTGTTGTCATCGGGGAAGACAGCAGGCTCCTCACTATGAGTGGCTCTGAAATCCAGTTCAAAAGCAAATCCTGAGAAGTAGCCGATTTCCCCCAAACCTGCTGTTCTCCATTCATCCCTTATCTTGACATGAGAGAGATGACAGTAGGCAAAGGAGTAAAAGCCTGAACTTACAGGCATGTTCAGGGCATATGGAGAAGTGTACTAAAGAATAAGGCATATTGAGGGAAATAGAATAGAAAGGGAATGCTAGGACAGATTGTCAAGGGCCTTGACTGCCACATTATAACAGTTAGACTTCCTATGGCAGGTCACAGAGAAGTCGTTAAAGTATCAACAACATCTGTCCACTCTCCAAAGCCAAAACAAGGGTACATTTTCCCTTCTTCCATCATTGGGTCCCTACCCTAGTGTAAGACAGCGGTAACGAGTTGTATAATTCAGCAAGTTTGAGCCACGACAGGAGAAGGTGCTGGAAGCTACGTCAGCCACCACAAAAGAAGTCAGAATCCAAAGAAAAACATCACTGCCCAGTCAGTGCAGGACCAGTGACTGGAAACACCACTATCAGAAGGTGTGGGTGACAGGATGCTCTGAGGGAATAAACCATGTGCCAGGGGAGCCATGGCACTGAGCAGAGCCAGGGCCACCAGGGGCCCCCAACCAGGGCCCTCCGTGCAAAGGAGGTGTGGGTATCAGCTCTAATTGCCTGAGATTTCTCTAAAAGACATCGCCTCTATGTGAAACACAAATGGTTTCAGCCTAGAGGCTTCATATGAAAAGGTTATTTATCTTTCAACATAATTCTCACCCAGACAAGAGAATAACCTTTCCTTAATAAGGAACTTACTGTCTTAAAAGAACAAATATATTGGGGTGTGCGATGATTCAACTCTGGAAACATATAAAGATAATCTGACCTTCAAATTCCCAACAGAGACTGTGGCTCAAGAACAGAGGATTATAATAAAAAGGAAAAAGAAACTGTGGTTGCAGAAAGTAGTTACCCGGCTCTCTAAGCTTATGTGTCGCTTAACAGCACAATCATTTAGAGAATCCTTTCCGCTTGTTTGGGAAGGCATGTGCACAGAGCTCCAGGAGCTCCAGCAATAAAACAAGCTAAGAAAAATATTGAGCATTAGGTGTGTATCTGCTGGACTAGATATAAATAATAAAGCAAAGGCATATTGATTATTCTCAAAACCTGACATAAATACAATTAGCTGTGTCCACCTCTGGCTTTTTCTTCTGTTTCTGCCAGACATGTTTTACTGGTGTGCCTCCTAGTGAAATGTGATTAAGTTGGGCTCCTCTTGGCAATAAGAAATAATGAAGATGACAAACTTTCCCATTTCAGGGCTTCTATGTCAAGTTTTTGTTGTTGTTGTCTCTTTTAATGGATGCTTGATTTTAAAAGGAAAACCTTCGTCCTCTGCTGCGCATGGCTGAGTGCACAAGTGCTCATTAAGAGCACACAATGCACACTCTCTCTTCCTGGACCATCAAAGTATCCGCACTTGTAAACAGCAAAGGATGGCAGTCAAATAAAGAACTCTTTTATTTCACAAAAGAATGCTGCAACTTTGAACCCAACAGATGAGATGGCTTGCATTGCAGCAGTTACATGCATATCCCCACATTTATTTTAAAAGCAGAGTTCTGGGAGCAATCTAAACGCATCTTTTCAGCAGAGCTCTGCTGGGGGGCACCAAAAGGCAAGGGAAAGCTTTATCCCATCTGAATTCCTTGAACTAATTACAGGGCCATTCATCTCTCTCCTGCTGTCATTTCCATAACAAGGTAAGAAGGTTTACCAGAAAAATTAAGACTTGGGTATCAAAAACAAAAGGTTACTTTTATTAAAATGTGCAGACTGCTTTCCAAGATAACTTTTATCTTACACATAGGGAAGTCGAAAAGATAGACGTGAGCTGAATTTAGTGAGAAAAGATTCACAAGATCAAGAAAGAAACACAAATACCTAGAAATGGTTTGTGTTGTGTATAACTGCCACAGAATGGAGGAGGAGGCTTTCCTGTGAGCAGTGCTGCAGTCCCAGCTTTCTAGGGCTCAGGAGAAAGGGACATGGACCCTGCTCCTGGAACAGGGTCAGCTCTCTGGCACCATCCCCACGTCCTGAGTTGACCTGACCACACCCACAAGCCACACAAGGGTGCTGAAGCCAGCACCTTCCTTTGCAGGGAAACAGGCTGTGCCAGAGAGTTTCTGCCAATCTTTCTTGCCGCTGTCTCCGCGGGTTTAAGTCCCCTTTCTCTGTCTCCTTGCCTCTTCTGCACACATTCAAAAATGTTTAATTAATGTTAGGTTAAAACAAATTTTAAGCAAATGAGAACAAGATGGGAGGATGGCCCTCATGAACAAAGGAATGCATTCTTTAAAAAAAATAAATAAATAAAAATTTTTTTAAAAGTCTGTAACACTCTAGAATAAATGTATATTTAGAGAGCTGACCTCACATATTCCCAAAAAGGACATACTCCCAAAAATATACTCCTCACATGCTTCCAAAAAAAAAAAAAATCTTAGGAGATTTTAATGGCTCCTTATTCCATATAGCAGTAGTTTTTAATTTCCTTTTTTAAATCATTTAACTCATTTGAATCCTTTGTTCAACAAATATTGATATTTTGTGCCAGGTTCTATTCTAAGTTTTGGGGTTGGGGAGAATGCTGGAAGGGAGGGGAAGAAGCGGGGCATAGTGCAGAGGGAGGGAAAAGGTGGAAGGGCAGGCCATGAGGGGCTTTGGCTAAGAGAGTGTGGGCTTTTACTGTGAGAGCAGAAACACCACAGAGCAGTCTTGAACATGCCACTCTGTTGAGGCTGGATCATAGGCTAAGGATGGAGCCTGGGATATGGGTTATAGGAATGGAATATTTCAGGAAAGCCCAATGCAATCCACATAGGATCAGCAGTGCCTTTCTGTCTACCCGGCAGAGGAGAGCAGAAAGCTGAAGAGTTCACCTGTTACCTCCTCAGAAAATCTTTGTCAGAGAATTCCCAAGGGGTATAAGAGCACATTCTGAAAACACCGACCAAAAGGATGCCTCCAGGTTCACAAGTCTAGCTATACGAACCAAAATTCAGTGAGTCTGTCTTCAGGATTATCCTAAGTTTCTGTCTTGAATGATTTTTTTCTTGCAATAAAGCTATATTCCATATGCAAAAATAAATATATGCATATTTAGAGTTAGATATATAGTTTTGTTATTGAATAAAAATTATTTGAAGTATGAAAAAAATCTATTTCCATATTCAAGGCTCCTCACCATTTGGCTACAACCCCCGTGTCCATTTTTTCTCACACCTGAGCCTATCTAAGTATTGATGCTCTATCCACTTACGGGTAGTGAAGGCCCAGGGGCACTGCCACAACCTCCTCACTCTTGTGCCCCATCCGAGACACAGTTCATTTCCCACATTGGTGCCTCTGCACTTTCCTGAACCTTCTTGCCGGCCTCTAGCTTCACCAGCTTCATGACTTGATTGATCCCTCCTATTATAGCAGACATGGTAGCCGAGACCACTCAGAGTTCAATCACCACATCCACTTGTATTTGATCATCAGACATCAGTCCGGCTATACTTAACCTCCAAGTCTGTTTTCTCAACTAAATTTTAAGTTAGACAAGAGCATGTCATACACTTCTTTGCAATTCCCATGGAGTTTGCTTGTAATGCATCTTCAATAAAAATATCATGACTGTTACAAAATTCTGAAAGCCAGAGGGATGGTGAAAATCATCTAAATTAGTGCTTCTTAACCTCTAGTGAGCAACCCTCCTAGCTTAAATCAGGAAGAATTAGAAACCCTGAACAGACGAATAACAAGCAGCAAGATTGAAATGGTAATTAAAAAAAAACTACCACCACCACCAACAACAACAAAGCCCAGGACCAGACAGATTCACAGCTGGATTCTATCAGACATTCAAAGAAGAATTGGTATCAATCCTATTGAAACTATCCCACAAAATAGAAAAAGAGGGAATCCTCTCTAAATCATTCTATGAAGCCAGTATCACTTTAATACCAAAACTAGGAAAGGACATAACAGAAAAAGAAAACTACAGGCCAATATCCCTGATGAACACAGATGCAAAAATCCTAATAAAATACTAGCTAATTGAATCCAACAATATATCAAAAAGATAATCCACCACGATCAAATGGGTTTTATAGCTGGGATACAGGTATGGTTTAACATATGCAAGTCAATACATGTGATACACCACATACACAGAATTAAAAACAAAAATCACACGATCATCTCAATAGATGCAGAAAAAGCATTTGACAAATTACAGCATCTCTTTGTGATTAAAACTCTCAGCAAAATCAGCATACAAGGGACATACCTCAATGTAAAAAAAGCCATCTATGACAAACCCACAGCCAACACAATACTGAAAGGGGAAAAGTTGAAAGGATTGTCTCTGAGAACTGGAACAAGACAAGGATGCCCACTCTCACCACTTCTATTCAACATAGTACTGGAAGTTCTAGCCAGAGCAATCAGACAAGAGAAATAAATAAAGGGCATTCAAATTGGTAAAAAGGAAGTCAAACTGTCACTGTTTGCTGATGATATGATTGTATACCTAGAAAATCCTAAAGACTCCTCCAGAAAGCACCTAGAACTGATGAATGAATTTAGTAAAATTTCAGAATGCAAAATTACGTTATACAAATCAGTAGCTCTGCTATACATCAGCAGCAGCCAAGCTGGGAATCAAATCAAGAACTCAACCCCTTTTACAATAGCTGAAAAAAAAATTAAAATACTTAGGAATATACCTAACCAAGAAGGTGAAAGTCCTCTACAAGGAAAACTACAAAACACTGCTGAAAGAAATCATAGATGATACAAATAAATGAAAACACAACCCATGCTTATGAATAGGTAGAATCAATATTGTGAAAATGACCACACTGCCAAAAGCAGTCTACAAATTCAATGCAATTCCCATCAAGATATCACCATCGATCTTCACAGAACTAGAAAAGACAATTCTAAAATTCATATGGAACCAAAAAGGAACCTCTATAGCCCAAGCGAGACTAAGCAAAAAGAACAAATCTGGTGGCATCATCACATTACCTGCTTTCAAACTATACTATATGGCCATATTCACCAAAACAGCATGGTACTGATATAAAAATAGGCACATAGACCAATGGAGCAGAATAGAGTACCCAGAAATAAACCTAAATACACACAGCCAACAGACCTTCAACAAAGCAAACAAAAACATTAAGTGGGAAAAGGACACCCTATTCAACAAACGGTGCTGGAATAATTGGCAAGCCACATATAGCAGAATGAAACTGGATCCTCATTTCACAGCTTGTAAAAAAACCAACTCAAGATGGGTCAAGGACATAAATCTAAGACCCAAAACTGTAAAAATTCTAGAAAATAACATCAGAAAAATCCTTCTAGACATTGGCTTAGGCAAAGACTTCATGACCAAGAACACAAAAACAAATGCAACAAAAACAAAGATAAATAGTTGGGACTTAATTAAACTGAAGAGCTTCTGCACAGCAAAAGGAAGAGTCAGCAGAGTAAACAGACAACCCACAGAGTGGGAGAAAATCTTCACAATCTATACATTTAACAAAAGACTAATACCCAGAATCTACAAGGAACTCAAATAAATTAGCAAGAAAAAATAAAACAATCCCACCAAAAAGTGGTCTAAGAACATGAATAGACAGTTCTCAAAAGAAGATATACAAATGGCCAATAAACATATGAAAAAATGCTCAACATCACTAATGATCAAGGAAATGCAAATCAAAACCACAGTGCCATACCACCTTTCTCCTGCGAGAATGGCCACAATCAAAAAAAATAAATAAATAGATGTTGGCATGGATGCAGTAAAAAGGGAATGCTTCAACACTGCTAGTGGGAATGTAACCTAGTACAACCACAATGGAAAACAGTGTGGAGATTTTTTAAAGAACCAAACGTAGAACTACTATTTGAATCAGCAATCTCACTACTGGGTATCTACCCAAAGGAAAAGAGGTCATTATATGAAAAAGATGCTTGCACATACATGTTTATAGGAGCACAATTTGCAATTGCAAAAATCTGAAACCAGCCCAAATGCCCATCAATCAATGAGTAAAGAAATTTTATATATCTATATACACATACACACACACACACACACACACACACACACACACATATACACACAATGGAATACTACTCAGCCACAAAAAGGAACGAATTAATGGCATTCGCAGCAAAAATAAAGAGGGAATACTATTCAACCATAAAAAAATGCCTTTTGTAGCAACTTGGATGGAGCTTGAGGCTATTACTCCAAGTGAAGTAACTCAGGAACAGAAAACCAAACATCGTATCTTCTCACTTACAAGGAGAGCTAAGCTATGAGAATACAAAGTCATAAGAATAATACAATGGACTTTGGGGACTCAGAGGAAAGGGTGGCAGGGGGGTGAGGGACAAAAGACTACAAATTGGGTTCAGTGTATACTGCTCGGGTGATAAGCGCACCAAAATCTCACAAACCACCACTGAAGAACTTATTCATGTAACCAAATACCACCTGTTCCCCCAAAACCTATAGAAATAAAACATTTTTAAAAATTTTAATGCAATAACTAGATAATAATGAGAATAATGTATTACATACATGACAGTAAAAGATTTAGATTACGTAGTTTCAAAATAAAATGTAAACTGTGTGTATGTTTGTGTATTGTGAATTAAATAAATTATGCTTTCTGGGAATAATAAAAATAGTATGTATAAAAAAACAAATAAGAGGAGAGAGACTACTCAGTAGATGGTAATGAAAAATATGGAAAAAAAGAATGCTCTACCTCAACTGAACAACTACCCCACCCAATACAATGTGAATCCTAGGAGAGTAAACACATAAAAATGAAATGTAAAATTAATAGAACAAAATGTAGGAGAATATCACTGTGAGTTAGAAAAATTTTAAAAACACAAATATAATAATGCAAAAAAAAGTGCTTCAAAAGAAATAAATTTTAAGGCAAACTTTCTCCTCTTTTATAATGGGGAGACAACAGCATCTTAAGTTGACTGGAACACCAAGGAATTATTTTGAAATATAAAAATCACCACAAAAAAGTTTTAAATCAGGAACACCAAGGTATTATTTTGAAATATAAAAAAGTACCACAAAAAAGTTTTAAACAATCACAAAATTAGTAAACTTTGATTACTGTGGAATGTGGAAATTGAATTCTGGTAATATCCAGAAAGTGTTTCTTTTCATTTGATAACTTTGAATATCCTTTGAATATTGTTACAGTGTACACCAATCACTTCTAAAAGACTTTCCTCCTCCCTCCTTGTGCATAGAAACTTTATCGAGCAGGAGAGAAGGTCATTATGAGTGGAATCTAAAATCAGATCTAGAATCAGGGAGCTTTACTTGTTTTAATCACCTAGAAAAAAAATGCTGTAATAAAAGGTTTTCTTTTTATGCAAAATAGAAAGTTGAATATTCTGTTTATTGATCAGATCAAGACTAATCCGTGTTGGGAAGTCTCTAAGTTAATGAGATCATTTAAGGAAATTTATTTTTGGTCAACCTTTTTTAGAAAGGCCATCACCAAAAATGCTCCCGCCATCCCATCCCCTTTCCAGACATCAATAAGTACCAAGTGGAAAGAGGGAAGGTGGGAAAAAGAGCACTTCTTTTATTTGAATTGTTTCCTTTTATGGGGCTTTGCAGAAAATCCCATGTAACACTTGCATTTCCATCTCCCTGCCCACCACTTTCTTACATTCCTATTTAAAATCTTCCTCCTGGCCAGATAAGTTTCATGTATTCCCAGTATCATCTTGAAATTGTGTTATCTTTAAGAAAGGTGTAAATGTGTAAACCGAAAGGGTGTGAGTATTGATTTAAGTTATTAAGTCTCTACAATTTCTCAGTTACAGAATATTCTTCGAAATCCAAATCCTTAAATTGAGAATTAGACCTAAATAAGTTTATGCCTACAGACTAAGCATCTACTCACTGTGTATAAATTATTTCATTTAATATTTTAATTGATTTATAGAAAAAGAAAGCCCATGGAAATTAATACTTAATGACTATACCTGTGGAACTAAGTCTTCAGGAACCCTCTCGTTCTCTATCTTAGGAATATTTTGTTATGCACACTTTACTATACAGAGACTACTATATGGCTTTAGAATTCATATAATGCCCTAAAAGACAGTATTAGTGGATTTCAGGTTACATAACACAGTAGCCCTATCCAGTGCCAACTAAACTTAGCATTATAAAAGAATACCAAACAGGGAGCATAAGAGCTTGCAAGAAAAAGCTTTTTGAAAGTAGCCAGAAGTGATCATCAATGCCCAAAACACAATGTATGTCTTGATCTTGAGAGATGAGCACTGACACACATGTAAATCACACCAGCACAGGTAACTCCCCCATCTGGGAGTTGTCAGCTTAAATACATTGCTAGTTTTGTAGCACTTGGATAGATCAGTATCCTGTTTTTGTTATTTAATGCAGCTAACAGTAAATTACATGTGACCAAATAAACAATCTGGACAACCAGGAATGGCATGCTTAGGAACGTTCTCAGATGAAATCAATAACTAGCAACCCAGCAAGACTCTCATTTATTTCCAGGGGATATATTCCTTCACTTGATATTTCAAAAATGTTGACTAAGGATCAAATTGTTCTTCAGCATCCTGGAGCCACAGGAAGGATTATAGTGCAGCTCTTCAATTCCTTCACAATAAATAACTGGTATTTCAAAATATACATTCTTCCAGACAACTGCACCAGTAAATATAAAACACTGCAGTCAGACTCTGTTCCTAAATAAGATGTTTATGTTATATTCATGTTTGCAATACTTTTACCACAAGAAGTACTACTGTTAAGTGCGTATAATTTTTCTACAATAGTGAACAACAGAGTAAAGTTCCATTAATGTACATGATAGATATATTCCAAGTAAATTATATTTAGTGGAACATTAGAGATTGACGTTCATTGGTTATGTTTTATATCTACTCTCCCCCACCTCTGCCCCATATACTACATGCCTATGGTACTACTTCGGTCATCATGAAAATTTAAAATTTCCCCAGAAATTTAAAAACTACCATCTAGAACTGGGAGAAAGATTAGATAATGATAAGCCAGTTGAGGACCACTTGCCAAAAGTAGTCTATTTACAGCTTTTACAAAGTGGATTTAATTATTATTTCAATTAGCTTTGGGGAGAAACAAACTATAATTTATTAAAAGCCTTTTCATGAATTAAAAAAAGTCAATAAAAAGCCTTTAAAGTTTAGAAAACCAAAAACTACAAAACAAAACAAAAACACAAAGAGTAGACCTCCACTCATGCATTGTCTAGCCCCTATCACAAATCTCCATCGACAATCACTTTAAAAAAAAATGTTTGACACATAATAATTGTACACATTCATGAATACATACCGATGGTGTAACACACGTATACAAATCAGCTGAGGGTAATTGGTATGCCCATCAATTCAAGCATTTATCATTTCTTTGTGTTGGGACCATTCAATGTCCTCTTTCTAGCTATTTGAAACTTAACCTCTGTATTTAGCTACTTATTCTGGTCATTGCATCCATATTTTCAAGTGTTAAGTTTATCATGTTCTTTTACATTTATTAATTTTAAATATTTTATTGAGTTCATAACATGATAAATATTTATTTAGACCTTCACCATACCCTTCTTTAACTTTTCAGATAGTTAACCACTATTTTTAGTTAAATTAATAAAAGTTATTGAGCAATTTTAGTTAAGTCAATAAACAACATTCCTTCACTTATTCCTATATAAATACTGTTCACTATAGAACCTAGTCAGATACAGCTTTTTGTTTTCCCTTGAATTAATAATTGCCTCTTTTTCATTTGCATGTTTCCATTAATCCACTTACTTTTTCTGGATGTTCTATCATCTACTATCTCATCTAATCTATAAAAACTAAATTATCCAGGGGTCCTCTTGTGGTCCTCTCTCCTGCTAAAGGCTGGACTAGCTGCTGTCTAGATCTGTTGCAGTCCAGTGAATTCTCTCCAATCCTCTTTATTTAAAGAAAAATTTCTGGGATTCTTTGTTTTCTACTTTTTACAATTATTATTAAACATTTGTTTAGCTAAAAGAATCCTATGGCTTTCTAAGGAAGGATACAGAAAGGTAAAATTAGAGGCTTTGCATATCTAAAAAAATTATTAATCTGCTTTTTCAGTTAAGTGATAGTTAAGCTAGGTAGCAAATTCTGCTGAAAATTTTTTTTATTTTCCCAACATTGGAAGTTATTCTTCAATTTATTGCTGTTTGGGGTATTCTTATTCCTTTTTTAATTGTCAAGGTTTTTTCAGAATCTTTTCTATTTCTGGTAATTTAAAATATTATCATGATTAGGCATATTGTTCTTTTTTCCCCTAGTGATTCCATTAAATTGATTAGCAACTAATCCTTCATAATCGGAAGAAAAAATTCTATTTAACAAAAGCTTCTAAGGCTATGTATTTTTCCCTGAGTGTAACTTTGACTATATTCCGTATGTGTTCAAATGAAATAGTCTCCTTTTAGATTTTCTGCTTGTTCAGTTATTATTGTTTATTTTGTTTTTTATTTTACTTTAAATTCTGGGTTACATGTGCTGAACGTGTAGGCTTGTTACGTAGGTATACGTGTGCCATGGTGGTTTGCTGCATCTATCAACTCACCATCTAGGTTTTAAGCCTCGCATGCATTTGTCCTAATGCTCTCCCTCCCCTTGCCCCCACCCCCCCTACAGGGCTTGGTATGTGACGTTCCCCTCCCTGTGTCCACATGCTCTCATTGTTCAGCTCCCACTTATGAATGAGAACATGCATTGTTTAGTTTTCTGTTCCTGTGTTAGTTTGCTGAGGATGATGGTTTCCAGCTTCATCCATGACCCTGCAAAGGACATGAACTCATTCTTTTTTATGGCTGCATACATTCCATGGTATATATGCGCCACATTTTCTTTATCTAGTCTATTATTCGTGGGCATTTGGGTTGGTTTCAAGTCTTTGCTATTGTAAATAGTGCTGCAATAAACACACATGTGCATGTTTCTTTATTGTAGAATGATTTATATTCCTTTGGGTATATACCCAGTAATGAGATTGCTGGGTCAAATGGTATTTCTAGTTCTAGATCCTTGAGGAATCACCACACTGACTTCCACAATGGTTGAACTACTTTACACTCCCACCAACAGTGTAAAAGTGTTCCTATGTCTCCACATCCTCACCAGCATCTTTTGTTTCCGGACTTTTTAATGACCGCCATTCTAACTGGCATGAGATGGTATCTCACTGTGGTTTTGATTTGCATTTCTCCAATGACCAGTGATGATGAGCTTTTTCTAATATGTTTGTTGGCTGCGTAAATGTCGTCTTTTGAGAAGTGTGTGTTCATATCTTTTGCCTACTTTTTGATGGGGTTGTTTGATTCTCTCTTGTAAATTTGTTTAAGTTCCTTGTAGATTCTGGATGTTAGACCTTTGTCAGATGGATAGATTGCAAAAGGTTTCTCCCATTCTGTAGGTTGCTTGCTCACTCTGACGATAGTTTCTTTCGCTGTGTGGAAGCTCTTTAGTTTAATTAAATCCCATTTGTCAATTTTGGCTTTTGTTGCCATTGCTTTTGGTGTTTTAGTCATGAAGTCTTTGCCCATGCCTATGTCCTGAATGGTATTGCTTAGGTTTTCCTCTAGGGTTTTTATAGTTTTAGATTTTATGTGTAAGTCTTTAATGCATCTTGAGTTAATTTTTGTATAAGGTGTAAGGAAGGGGTCCCATTTCTGTTTTCTGCATATGGCTAGCCAGTTTTCCCAGCACCATTTATTAAATAGGGAATCCTTTCCTCATTCCTTGTTTTTGTCAGGTTTGTTGAAGATCAAAGGGTTGTAGATGTGTGGTGTTATTTCCGAGGCCTCTGTTCTGTTCTATCGGTCTATCTATCTGTTTTGGTACCAGTACCATGCTGTTTTGGTTACTGTAGCCTTGTAGTATGGTTTGAAGTCAGCGTGATGCATCCAGCTTTGTTCTTTATGCTTAGGATTGTCTTGGCTATACCGACTCTTTTTGACTACATATGAGTTTTAAAATAGTTTTTTTCTAGTTCTGTGAAGAAAGTCAATGGTGGCTTGATGGGGTTAGCATTGAATCTATAAATTACTTTGGGCAGTATGGCCATTTTCATGATATTGATTCTTCCATGAGCATGGAATGTTTTTCCATTTCTTTGTGTCCTCTCTCATTTCCTTGAGCAGTGGTTTTTAGTTGTCCTTGAAAATGTCCTTCATGTCCCGTGAAAGTTGTATTCCTAAGTATTTTATTTTCTTTGAAGCAATTGTGAATGGGACTTCACTCATGATTTGGCTCTCTGCTGTCTATTATCGGTGTATAGGAATGCTTGTGATTTTTGCACATTGATTTTGTATCCTGAGACTTTGCTGAAGTTGTTTATCAGCTTAAGGAGTTTTTAGGATGAGACAATGGGGTTTTCTAAATATACAATCATGTTTACTGCAAACAGAGACAATTTGACTTCCTCTCTTCCTATTTTAATACCTTTTCTTTCTCCTGCCTGATTGCTCTGGCCAGAACTTCCAATACTACATTTAATAGGAGTGGTGAGAGAGGGCATCCTTGTCTTGTGCCAGTTTTCAAAGGGAATGCTTCCAGCTTTTGCCCACTCAGTATGATATTGGCTATGGGTTTATCATAAATAGCTTCTATTATTTTGAGATATGTTTCATCAATACCTAGTCTATTGAGAGTTTTCAACATGAAAAGGTGTTAAAAACTTTTATCAAGGCCTTGTCTGCATCTATTGAGATAAGTTCAACATACACAAATCAATAAACATAATCCATCACATAAACAGAACCAATGACCAAAACTATGTGATTATTTTATTCCTTATTTTATTCAGAACTTCTTTAGAAGGATGTTTCTAAATTTTCAGGCACTTAAGTTTTATCACAACTGTTGTTTTTTGACAGGAGTGTTGTTTATTTTTTTCACTTTTTGTTTTTGTTTTTCTTTTTACTTTTACCATATATTTATTGTTGATTTTTATTTTTATAATAAGAAAACGTGACATGTAAAATCCTAGTTTCTGGGAATTCATTAAATCAATATTTTTAAACTTTTTTTAACATAATAGTATACTTAGAAATAATATACAGGGAGGGTGGCCGGGCGTAGTGACTCACGCCTGTAATCCCAGCACTTTGGGAGGCCAAGGCGGGTGGATCACAAGGGCAGGAGATGGAGACCATCCTGGCTAATTCGGTGAAACCACGTCTCTACTAAAAATACAAAAAATTATCTGGGCATGGTGGCGGGTGCCTGTAGTCCCAGCTACTCAGGAGGCTGAGGCAGGAGAATGGCGTGAACCCAGGAGGCAGAGCTTGCAGTGAGCCAAGATCGTGCCACTGCACTGCAGCCAGGGCAACGGAGCGAGACTCCATCTCAAAAATAAATAAATAATATATAGGGAGGGTGAAGCAAGATGGTGGAATAGAAGCCTATACCTTTTGTCCCCCTCACTGAAAGACCAAATTTTAACAACTGTCTGCTTACAGGAAAGCACTGTCCCAAGAATCAAAAACCAACTGAGCAATCATAGTACCTGGTTTTAACTTCATATCATGGAAAGAGGCATTGAAGAGGGCAGAAGAAAAAGTCTTAAATCGCTGATGCCACCCTTCCCACATCCCCTGGTAGTGGCAATGTGGCATGGAGAGAAAATCTCTGCACTTGGGGGATGGAGAGTGCAGCCACTGGGGGACTTCACATTGAACTCAGTGCTGCTCTGTCACAGCAAGAATAAAGCCAAGCTGGGCTCATCTGGTCCCCATGCACAGAGGGAGCATTTGCTCCAAGCCACAGGCAAATTGCCTGTATCAGTTTTCAGAACTTGAGTTTCTCAGGAAACCTAGCTACCATGGGTTTATTTGTTCTGGGGTCCCAGGTAAATTTGTAAGGCAGTCTATGACCAAGGTCTGCAATTCCTAGGCAATTCCTAATGCTAGGTTGGACTTAGGCACAGTGAACTTGGGTGACATGTGACATCTGCAAGCATCAACACCATGCAAGGAAACATGACCTTGCCAAATGAACTAAAATAAGTCACCAGGGACCAATCCTGGAGAAACAGAGATATATGAACTTTCAGACAGAGAATTCAGAATTGCTGTATTGAGGAAACTCACAGAAATTCAAGATAACACAGAGAAGAAATTTGTAATTCTATCAGATAAATTTCACAAAGAGATTGAAATAATTAACAAGAATCAAGCAGAAATTTTAGAGTTGAAAAATGCAATTGACATATTGGAGAATGCATCAGAATCTCTTAATAGCAGAACTGATCAAGAATCAGTGAGCTTGAAGATAGACTATTTGAAAATATACAGTCAGAGGACATAAAAGAAAAAAAAAAGAAACACTAAAGTATGCCTATGAGATCTAGAAAATAGCCTCAAAAGGACAAATGTAAAAGATATTGGCCTTAAAAAAGAGGCAGAAAAAAAAATAGGGGTAGAAAGTTTATTCAAAGGGATAATATCGGAGAACTTCCCAAATCTAGAGAAAGATATCAGCATTCAAGTACAAGAAGGTTATAGAACTCCAAGCAGACTTAACCCAAATAGGACTATCTCAAAGCATTTAATAATCAAACTCTCAAAGGTCAAGAATAAAGAGAGGATCCTAAAAGCAGCAAGATAAAGGCAACAAATAATATACAACCAAACTCCAATATATCTCACAGCAGACTTTTCAGTGGAAACCTAACAGGCCAGCAGAGAGTAGCATAGCATATTTAAAGTGCTAAAGAAAAAAACTTGAGTAGTATATCCACTGAAAATATCCTTTATGCAAGAAGAAGAAATAAAGAACTTCTCAGACAAACAAAAGCTGAGGGATTTCAGCAACACCGGACCTGTCCTACACAAAATTCTAGAGGGAGTTCTTCCATTTGAAAGAAAAGGATGTTAATAAGTAAGAAGAAATCTTCTGAAGGTATAAAATTCACTGGTAATAGTCAGTACACAGAAAAATACAGAATAATATAACACTGTAATTATGATATGTAAGCTTCTCCTCATTTAAGTAGAAAGGCTAAGTTATGAACCAGTCAAAAATAACTACTAAAACTTTTCAAGACATAGACAGTACAATAAGACAAAGAGAAACAACAAAAACTGAAAAAGTGGGGGAATGAAGTTAAAATGTAGAGTTTTTATTAGTTTTCTTTCAGTGTATTTGTTTGTTTATGCAATCAGTGTTAAGTCATCAGTTTAAAATTATGGGTTATAGGGTAGTATTTGCAAACCTCATAGTTACCTCAAATTGAAAACTATACAACAGATACACAAAAAATACAAAGCAAGCAATTAAAGCATACCACCAGAAAAAAATCACCTTTTCTAAAAGGAAGACAGGAAGGACAGAAAGAAGGAAGAGAAGACCACAAAACAATTAGAAAACAAACAAAATGGCAGGAGTAAGGCCCTACTTATCAATAATAACATTGAATGTAAATGAACTAAATTCTGCAATCAAAAGACATAGAGTGACTGAATAGATACAAAAAAAAAAAACAAGTCTCAATGATCTGTTGCCTAGAAGAGATACACTTTGCCTATAAACATACATACAGGCTGAAAATAAAGCAATGAAAAAAGATATTCTATGCCAATGGAAAGCAAAAAAGAGCAGGAGTAGCTATACTTATATCAGACAAAATAGATTTCAACACAAGATATATAATATTTGCTTTATATATCTGGATGCTCCAGTGTTGGGCACATATATATTTACAATCATGAATTGGCCCCTTTGTTGTATTATTGTATCATTACACGATTATAAAGGGGCCAATTCATGATTGTAAATATATATGTACCCAACACTGGAGTATCCAGATATATAAGGCAAATATTTTTAGAGCTAAAGATAGAGATAAACCCCAACACAATAATAACTGGACACTTCAACACCCCACTCTCAACATTGGACAGATCTCCCAGACAGAAAATCAACAGAAACATCAGACTTAAGCTACCCTATAGAACAAATGGACCTGATAGATATTTACAGAACATTTCATCCAATGGCTGCAAAATGTACCTTTTTCTCCTCAACACATGGGTCATTCTCAAAGATAGATCACATGTTAGGTCACAAAAAAAGTCACCTTCTCTGACCACAATGGAATAAAACTACTTGTTATTAATTCCTCATCAATAACAAGAGGAATTTTGGAAACTATGCAAACACAGGGAAATTAAACAATATGTTCCTGAATTACCAGTGGGTCAATGAAGAAATTAAGAAGGAAATTGAAAACTTCTTTGAAACAAACGATAATGGAAAAACAGCATACTAAAACCTATGGGATACAGTGAAAGCAATATTAAGAGAGATATTTATAGCCCTAAGTGCCTACATCAAAAAAGAAGAACAACTTCAAATAAGTAATCTAATGATGCATCATAAAGACCTAGAAAAGCAAGAGCAAACCAAATCCAAAATTAGTAGAAGAAAGGAAATAATAAAGGTCAGAGCAGAAATAAATGAATTTGAAATGAAGAAAACGATACAAAAGATCAATGAAGCAAAAAGTAGTTTTTTTGAAAAGATAAGGAAAATTGACAAACCTTTAGCCAGACTAAATAAAAAAAGAGAGAAGACCCAGATAAATGAAGCAGAGGTGAAAAAGGAGACATTACAACTGATACTGCAAGCATTCAAAGGATCATTAGTGGCTAGTATGAGGAACTATATGCCCATAAATTATAAAATCTAGAAGAAATGAAGAAATTTCCAGATACATACAGTTTACCAAGATTGAACCATGAAATCTCCAGTTAAAACAAAAACAAAAAACTGGGACTTGATCGCTTCACTGCTAAATTCTACCAAATGCTTAAAGAATTAATACCAGTTCCACTCAATCTGTTCCAATAAACAGAGGGTGGAGGAATACTTCCAAACTCATTCTATAAGGCCAGTATTATCCTGATACCAAAACCAGAAAAAGGCACATCAGAAAAAGAAAACTACAGGCCAATATTCCTAAGGAATATTGATGTGAAAATCCTCAACAAAATACTAACAAACTGAACTTAACAACACATTAAATAGACCATTCATCATGACCAAGTGGGATTTATCCCAGGATGCTGGGAGATAATTCAACATATGCAAATCAATCAATGTAATACATCATATTGACAGAATGGTGGACCCAAACCATATGATCATTTCAAATGATGCTGAAAAAGTTCAACGTTCTAAAATTTGGAAGCAACCTGAGTGACCATGAACAGATGAGTGGATAAAGAAAATGTGGTATTTATACATGATGAAGTACTATTCAGCCATGAAAAAGAATGAAATCCTATCATTTGCAACAGCATGGATAGAATTGGAGGTCACTATGTTCAGTGAAATAAGCCAGGCACAGAAAGATAAACATCACATGTTCTCACTTATTCTGGGATTTAAAAATCAAAACAATTGAATTCATGGAGATGGAGAATAGAAGAATGGTTACCAGAGGCTAGGAAAAGTAGTAGGGGACCAGGAGCCTCGTGGGGATGGTTAATGGGTACAAAAATAAAATAGAAATAATAAATAAAAATAAGACCTAGTATTTGACAGCGTAACAGGAGAACTGTAGTCAATAAGACTTTAATTGTACATTAAAAAATAACTAAAAGAGTATAATCAAATTATTTGTAACACAAAGGATAAATGTTTCAGGGGACAGATAAAAATTATTTTTAAATTTAATTTTATCAAAAAACAATATTTATATGACACATTGGATAAATGGATAAGATTACCTGCAGTTTGGAGTTCTGACTACCCCAGCCAGGCATTGCCCAACTTTCTGTATAACTCAGGGTTAAACAAGACCCTAATTTTATTTAATTTTTCCATTTTGCAAAACCAATTATTAAATAGTTTATTTTCAAAGATTTCTAATGCTTCCTCTATTAAATACCAGGGTCATTTATATGCTTTGGTCAGCATCCTGAGTTGCCATTCTGCTCTATTATTACATTTATCAACCCTGTATTTCTATTTATTGATCTAATAAAGACAGTGTTGTAGTATCTTTTCATGTGTAGTAGGGTAAATCCTTTTGCTTTCCTTTAAAGTTATTTTTAAATTTATTCTGATGCATAAATTTTAGGAACTATTGCTCAAATTTCATAAATAATCTTATTGGGATTTTTAAAAATTTGATTTGAATTTACAGATTAATTTGGGTGAGAATTAATATGATTATCATATTGAATCTTCCCACTCATGAACATCATATATTTTACCTTTTATTTTATGTTCTTTGATATTATTTAATAATATAATCTGTAAAGATACTGTATTTCTTTTTAAAACTTCTTTTTCCTAGACACTTTATAATTTGTGTTATACCAACACAATGCAGACTAAGACAGGTTCCTATTATTTTTTCCTATTTGATTGTGCTGCTGTAACATTTTTCATGTTTTTAACATGTGAATTTAATCCTTAATGTTCTGCAGTTTCATTGTGAGAGATATAAGTAAAGATTTTTATCAATTTATCAGGATACATTGTCAAGATACATTCAAATGGAGAAAGTTTTATTTTTAAAATAAACTGTTGAAAACTCTTAGCCATTAGTTCTTCACATACTACGTCTTCAATTACTCTAGTCAGTACATTTAGACACATGCAGGAGCCTCTCAATTTGCCTCAATGCCTCTTGACATCATAAACATATTTTTATCTATTTATCTCTCTGGGATGCTTATAATCTTTCTATTTCATCTTTATATTTCAATTGACTGTCTCACTCTGTGAGTGTCTAGATGAAATTTTGTTACATTTAAGTTTTTCTTCTAAGTTGGTGAGTACATTTTCACTAATCAATAATGTAACTTATTATTGGACTGCTTTATTTAATAATTTTTCACATTAGAATTATGAATATTATACATCTTTTTATATTTTAGCATCTGTATGTCTTATATATGCGATATAATTCTAAAGTATCTCTATGAACAAAAGAAGGCAGTAAAGGAGAAACAGAAGAATAAATCTACCTGTATATTGATCTATTTTTTGCAGTCTTTTGGTTTCCCAATTGTCAGCTTGTTGGCTGTATTTCCACTCTTTCGTGTGTATCTATACCCCTATCATTTAAAAACAAAATTAGAGTGTACTGCACATTAACACTCCCCTCTGGCATTGCATAGTCTTCAAATGCATTGTTTTTTTATTGCTTTGTAATATGCAGTGACATGAATGGTCCTTAATGTAGTTAACCGTTTTTCTATTTTTGTCTTTTAATTTGTTTCCAACCTTTTACTTTACCATATATTGGATTATTTCTTTAGGATAAATTTTTAGGGCAAAATCACTGGATTAATAGATTGGAACATGTTTTATTTATTTCAATACAAGTATTATATAGCCATTTGGAGAAAAATTAAACAAAGTTATATTTCCATCACTAGTGTTTGAGAGTCAACTGTACCTTTACCAGTACTGACATGTTTTTTTGTTTTTTTTTTTATATGGAGTCTTGCTCTGTCACCCAGGCTGGAGTGCAGTGGCGTGACCTCAGCTCACTGCAAACTCCACCTCCCGGGTTCATGCCATTCTCCTGTCTCAGCCTCCCAAGTAGCTGGGACTACAGGGGCCCGCCACCATGCCCAGCTAAATTTTTTGTATTTTTAGTAGAGACAGGGTTTCATCGTGTTAGCCAGAATGGTCTCGATCTCCTGACCTCGTGATCTGCCCGCCTCGGCCTCCGAAAGTGCTGGGATTACAGGAGGACATGATTTTTAAATTTTGCTTGTTTTGAAATGGAAAAAATGGTGCCTGGTGATTATTTTAATTTGCATGCCATTTATTATTGATGAAGGAAACTATGTTTGTGTTTACTAACAATTTTCACATTGCTTTTCTTCTCTGAATTTTCTATTTACAACTTTAGAATATTTTTTAATTGGTGTTTTACAGTTTTTCCTTTCAACCATCTGTGGGCTTTATATATTACCCATTGTCTCAACAATTTTATGTCAGAAAGAATTGTTTTGATAATGTGAGAGGATGGAACAAACTAAGACACGTATCTTAGAGCAGTGTCTGCCTCACAGTAAATTTTCAATGGTTATTAGCTATTTTTTAATATTCACATAACATTTTTATTGCTACACTGCAATTGTGTATGTTTATGGTGTATACTTTGATGTTTCAATACATATATATTATAATGATCAAATTAGGGCAGTCAGTGTATCCATCACCTATGCATTCATTATTTCTTTGTGGTAAAACATTAAAAAGCCTCTCATCTAGCTATTTTGTAATAAACAATGCTTTACTGTTAACCATGGTCACATTACACCATAGAACACCAGAATTTATTGCTCTTATCTAATTATAGTGTTTTACCCCTTGACCAACCTCTCCTCATCCTCCCCTTCCTCTCCCTTTCAAAGTCTCTGGTAACCACTGTTCTACTCTCTGCTTCTGTGTCAACTTTGGATTTTGTTTTGTTTCATTTTGTTCTAGATTCCACATATGAGTGAGATCATATGGTATTTGTCTTTCTGTGTCTGGTTCGACATATTTCACTTAACATGATATTCTTCAGAGTCATCCACATGGTCACAAATGACAGGATTTAATTCTTTATAGTATTCTATTGTGTGTGTGTGTGTGTGTGTGTATTATACACCACATTTGCTTTATCCATTCATCCATTGCTGAGTACATAGGTTGATTCCATATCTTGGCTATTGCAGTGCTGCAATAAACATGGGAGGGCAGCTCTTCCACATACTGATTTCATTTCCTTGGGATACATACCCAGTAGTGGGATTGCTGGATCATATGGTAGTTCTAGTTTTAATTTTTTGAGGAACCTCCATATTGTCTTCCATAGTTGCTGTACTAATTTACAATTCCACCAACAATGTGTAAGTGTTCACTTTTTACTATGTTCTCACCAACACTTGTTTTCTTTTGTCTTTTTGCTAATAGCCATTCAACTGGAGTGAGGTAGCATTTCTTTGTGGGTTTTATTTGCATTTCCCTGATGATTAGTGATATTTAGCATTTATATATTATAGATATAGAAGTAGATATGTGCCATTTCTTTATAAAATGTCTGTTCAGATCTTTTGCCCATTTTTGTATTTATTTCTATTTTCATTTGGGGACACTTTAATTTAATTTTATTTTTTTTAACATTTATTTTAGGTTTGGGAGTACATGTAAAGGTTTGTTGCGTAGGTAAACACATCTCACAGGGTTTGTTGTACGTGTTAATTCATCACCCAGGTAATAAACCCAGTACCCAATAGTTACCTTTTCTGCTCCTCTCCCTCCTCCCACCCTCCCCCTCACGTAGACCCCAGTGTCTGTTGTTTCCTTCTTTGTGTTCATAAGTCCTCATAATTTAGCTCCAACTTATAAGTGAGAACATGTCGTATTTGGCTTTCTGTTTCTGCATTAGTTTGCTAAGAATAATAACCTCCAGCTCCATCCATGCCCCTGCAAAAGAAATGATCTTGTTCTTTCTTATGGCTGCATAGTATTCCATGGTGTATACGTACTACACTTTCTTTATTCAACCTGTCATTGATGGGCATTTAGGTTGATTCCATGTCTTTGCTATTGTGAATAGTACTGCAGTGAATATTCACATACATGTGTCTTTATGGTAGAATGATTTATATTGGTCTGGGTATATACTCAGTAATGGGATTGCTGGTTGAAATGCTAGTTCTGCTTTTAGCTCTTTAAGGAATCACCATACTGCTTTCCACAATGGTTGAACCAATTTACACTCATACCAGCAGTGTATAACTGTTCCTATTTCTCTGTAACCTCACCAGCATCTGTTATTTTTTTGACTTTTTAATAATAGCCATTCTGACTAGTGTGAGATGGTAAGTACCTCATTGTGGTTTTGATTTGCATTTCTCTAGTGTTCTGTAATATTGAGCTTTTTCTCAAATGCTTGTTGGCTGCATGTATGTCTTCTTTTGACAAGTGTCTGTTCATGTCCCTTGCCCACTTTTTCATGGGATTGTTTGATTTTTCTCTTGTAAATTTAAGTTCCTTATAAATGTTGGATATTAGATCTTTGTCAGATGCATAGTTTGCAAAAATTTTCTCCCATTCTGTAGGTTGTCTGTGTGTTGATAATTTCTTTTGCTGTGCAGAAGCTCTTTAGTTTAATTAGATCCCACTTGTCAATTTTTGCTTTTGTTGTGGTTGGTTTTGATGTCTTTGTCATGATATCTTTTTTCATTTATACGTCCAGGATAGTAATGCCTAAGTTGTCTTCCAGAGTTTTTACTAGTTTTAGGTTTTACATTTAAGTCTTGAATTCATCTTGAGTTGATTTTTGGATGTGGCGTAAGGAAAGGGTTCAGCTTTAATCTTTTGCGTATGGTGACCCAGTTATCCCAGCACCATTTATTGAACATGGAGTATTTTCCTCATTGCTTATTTTTGCAAGCTTTGTCAAAAATCAGATGGTCATAGATGTGTAGCCTTATTTCTGGGGATCTCCATTCTGTTCCTTTGGTCTATATGCCTGTTTTTGTACCAGTACCATGCTGTTTTAGTTACTGTAGCCTTGTAGTATAGTTTGAAGTCAGGTAATGTGATGCCTTCAGTTTTATTCTTTTTGCCTAGGATTGCCTTGGCTGTTTGGGCTCTTTTTTTGGTTCCATATGAAATTTAAATTAGTTTTTTTCTAATTCTGTGAAAAATGTTGGTAGTTTGATAGGAATAGCATTGAATCTGTAAATTGCTTTGGTCAGTATAGCCATTGTAATGATATTGGTTCTTCGTACTTATGAGCTTGGGATGTTTTTCCATTTGTTTGTGTCTTCTCTGATTTCTTTGAGCGCGTTTTGTAATTGTTATTGTAGAGATCCTTCACTTCCCTGGTTAGCTGTATTCCTAGGTATTTCATTCTTTTTATGGCAATTGTGAATGTCTTTCTAATTTGTCTCTTGGTTTGGCTTTTATTGGTGTATAGGAATGCTAGTCATTTTTGTACACTGATTTGGTAGCCTGCAATTTTGCTTAAGTTGTATATCAGCTGGAGGAGCTTTTGTGCTGGGACTATGAGATTTTCTAGATATAGAATCATGCCATCTGAAAACAGTTTGACTTCCTCTCTTCCTATTGGATGACTTTTATTTCTTTCTGTTGCCTAATTGCTCTGGCCAGGACTTCCAGTACTATATTGGATAAATGTGGTGAGAGAGGGCATCCTTGTCTTGTGCCAGTTTTCAAGAGAAATGCTTCCAGCTTTTGCTTATTCAGTATAATGTTGGCTGTGGGTTTGTCATAGATGACTCTTACTGTTTTGAAGTATGTTTCTTCAATACCTCTTTATTGGGACTTTTTAACATGAAGGAGTGTTAAATTTTATCAAAAATTTTGGCATCTATTGAGATAATCATATGGTTTTGGTCTTTAGTTCTGTTAAAATGGTGAATCACATTTATTGCTTTGCATATGTTGAACCAACCTTGCATCCCAGGGATGAAGCCTACTTGATCATAGTGGATTCGCATTTTGATGTGCTACTGAATTTGGCTTGCAAGTACTTTGTTGAGAATTTTTGCATTGATGTTCTTCAAGGATATTGGCCTGCAGTTTTCTTTTTTTGTTATGTCTTTTAGCCTCATAGAATGAGTTGGGAAGGAGTCCCTCCTCCTCAATTTTTTGGAATACTTTCTGTAGGAATTGTACCATCTCTTATTTGTACCATCTCTTATTTGTACATCAGGTAGAATTTGGTTGTGAATCCATCAGATACAAGGCTTTTTTTGGTTGGTAGGCCATTTATTACAGATTCGATTTTGGAGCTTGTTATTGTTCTGTTCAGGGAATCATTTTCTTCCTGGCTCAGTCCTGGAAGCATGTATGTGTCCATGAACTTATTCATCTCTTCTAGGGTTTCTAATTTGTGTGCCTAGAGGTATTCATAGTAGTTTCTGATGGTTGTTTTTATTTCTGTGGGATTAGCAGTAACATTCCCTTCATCATTTCTAATTGTGTTTATTTGGATCTTCTCTTTTCTTCTTTATTAGTCTAGCTAGTGGCCTATTTTATTAATTTTTTTAAAAAACCAACTCATGAATATGTTGATCTTTTGAATGGTTTTTCATTTCTCAATTCCCTTCAGTTCAGCTCTAATTTTTGTTATTTCTCATCTTCTATTAGCTTTGGGGTTGATTTGTTGTTGACTCTTTAATTTTTTCAGTTGTGAAGTTCAGCTTTTAATTTGAGATCTTTCTAACTTTTTGATATGGGTGTTTAGTGCTATAAATTTCCCTCTTAATACTGCCTTAGGTATATCCCAGAGTTTCTGGTATGTTGTATAATTGTTCTCATTATTTTCAAAGAACTTCTTGATTTCTGCCTTAATTTCATTGTTTACCACAAAGTCATCCAGGAGCATGTTGTTTAATTTCCATATAATTGCATGGTTTTGAGTGATTTTCATACTCATGACTTCTATTTGTATTGTGTTGTGGTCTGATAGTGTGTTTTGTATGGTTTTGGTTCTTTTACATTTGTTGAGGATTGTTTTATGTCCAATTATGTGGTCAATTTTAGAGTATGTGCCATTTGGTAGTGAGAAAAATATATATTTTGTTGTTTTGGGATGGAGAATTATGTAGATATCTATCAGGTCAATTTGATCCAGTGCTGAGTTCAGGTTCTGAATCATTCTTAATTTTCTACCTCAATGATCCGTCTAATACTGTCAGTGGATTGTTGAGGTCTCCCACTGTTACTGTGTGGGAGTCTGTGTCGCTTTGTGGTTCCTTAAGAACTTGCTTTATGAAATTGGTGCTCCTGTGTTGGGTACACGTATATTTAGGATAGTTAGGTCTTCTTGTCGAATTGAACCCATTACCATTATTAATGCTCTTCTTTGTCTTTTTTGATCTTTGTTCGTTGGAAATCTGTTTTGTCTGAAATGAGAATTACAACCCCTGCTTTTTTCTATTTTCCATTTGCTTGGTAGATTTTTCCTTCACCCCTTTACTTTGAGCTTATGAGTGTCATTACCTGTGAGACGGGTCTCTTGAAGACAGCATACCATTAGATTGTTCTTTTTTATTCAGCTTGCCACACTGGGGTATTTACCCCATTTACATTCAAGGTTAGTATTGTTTTGTGTGGATTTTGATCCCATCATTTTATATTAGCTGGTTATTACGTTGGCTTGTTTGTGTGGTTTCCTTACAGTGACAGTGGTCTGGGTGTTTAAGTGTGTTTTTGTATTAGCTGGTAGGGGTCTTTTCTTTCTATATTTAGTGCTCCTTTCAATATCCCTTGTAAGGCAGATCTGGTGGTAATGAATTGCCTCAACATTTGCTTATCTGACAAGGATCTTATTTCTCCTTCACTTGAAAAGCTTAGTTTGGCTGGATAAGAAATTATTGGTTGAAGACTTTGAAGATTTTTTTCTTCAGGAATGTTGAAAATAGGCCCCCAGTCTCTTCTGTCTTGTAGGGTTTCAGCTGAGAGGTCCACAGTTAGCCTGATGGGGTTCCCTTTGCAGATGACCTGCCCTTTTTCTCTAGATGCCTTTAACATTCTTTCTTTCATTTCTACCTTGAAAAATCTGTTGATTATGTGTCTTGGGATGATTTTCTTTTGTAGAATCTTGCAGGAGTTCTCTGTATTTCCTGGCCTCTCTAGCAAGGTTGGGGATGTTTTCATAAACAATATTCTGAAATATGTTTTCCAGATTGGTTGCTTCTCCCCCTCAGCCTTTCAAGAATGTCAATGATACATAGATTTGGCCTCTTTACATAATCTCATACTTCTCAAAAGTTTGTTCATTCCTCTTCATTCTTTTTTCTTTATTTTTGTTTGACTGTCTTATCTCAGAGAACCAGTCTTCAAGTTCTGAGATTTTTTTCCTCAGATTGGTTTATTCTGCTATTAACACTCATGAATGCATTGTGAAATTCTTGTATTGTGTTACTCACCACTGTCAGGCCCATTAGCTTCTTTTTTTATGCTGGCTATTTAGTCCTTCAGCTCCTTTACTGCTTTATTGTGATTGTTATTTTCCTTGGATTGAGTTTGGCCATTCTCCTGAATCTTGATCTTTGTTCCTATCTATATTCTGAATTCTATTTATGTAATTCAAGCCAGTTCAGCCTGATTAAGAACTCTTGTTGGAGAATTGGTCCAGTTGTTTTTGGAGGATAAAATAACTTTGGCTATTTGAGTTACCAGAGTTCTTGCATTGTTTTTTTCTCATCTCTGTATGGGGGTGTTCCTTTAAGAGCAGTGTATGTTGAGTACAGTCAGTAGACTTCTTTTCTGGATATTTTTACTGGGCTGAGGCTTTGCAAAGGGTCGTTATTTGAAGCTTACCTCTTGTCTCTAGTTTCAGAGGGGAGGTATGTTAGTACGGTATTTTTGGTGTTGACGCTTTGGAGTGTGATCCAGCAGGTGGCACTTGGCTTATTGGTAGACTCTTCCTCGGTTGTGTGGCTTGCCTATGTTTTCTCACAGTTGCAGCCATGTTTCCTCTCAATGCTCTGAAGCTGTGGGTTCCTCTCCCTGTCGAGTGTTGGCTGTAGATTATGACTTGGCACTACTGGGCTGCCCACTACAACTCTAAGGTGATCTCAGTGTTTATGTTCCTTCCCCAACATGGAGACAGCAGGGTAACAGCTCTTGGTAGTGGTTGTGGCCAAGGGTTGCTTGCTGGTCTCCTGGGAACTCCACCCCAGAGGGATGCAGGTCAGCAATCGCTCAATGCAATCAGCCCAGAATGAAAGGTCTGTGGTGTGGGTCCAAACCAGGGGTTCCCTGTCCTGTGACAAGCAGTGGGAAGTGTGTGGGGCCCGTGAGAGATGGACTTGCCTCTTCTCCTTGAGTTAACTGCACTTTGTTGGAGGTGTGAATAAGGCACTTATCTTTCACTCCTTTGTTAGTCCAAGGGTGGCAGGGGCAGTTCCACAGCAGATGCAGTAGCAGAGAGGCTTTCAATTGCCCCTAGAGACTCTGTCGAGGCTGTTTCTGAGTTGGTATGGCTTGATAACTTTAGCAGTGGGGTGGCTTGAAGCCCAGACCTGGAGGACTTGCCCAGTGAGGGGATATGGGAAAGGGGACTCAGGTCACAGTCTGGCCACTTTCCATAGGGCTCCCGTGGTATGCTTGAGGACCACTCCAGTCCCTAGTTGCCTCAGATTTTCCAGTACCTAGAAGTATCAACAGTGAAGGCTGAAAACAGCAAAAATGGCAGCTTGTCCCTCCTTCTGGGAGCTTCGACCCAGAAAGATACAGGCCTGTTGCTGGCTCAAAGGCACCTGTAGGAGGTGGCCGGAGACCCCAGTTGGGAGGTACTACCCAGTGAGGAGGAATGGGGTCAGGGACCTGCTTAAAAAAGAAGTCCAGAGACATTTTGGTACAGTAGCTATGCTGTGCTGGAGGTCCACTTCAGCCCCCAGTTGCCTCAGACACTCCAAAGCCCAAAGGCTGGAATGGCTATGTCACCAAAATAGCAAAGATGTTGGCCCACCCATCCCTCTGGGGTCTCCATCCCAGGGAGGTTGCAAATCTCTGTTGGCTGGAGAACACTGACAGGGATGACTGGAGTCCCCAGTTGGGGGGTCCCACCCAGTGAGGACCTGCTTAAAGAAGCAGTCTGGCTACATTTTGGTAGAAGAGCTGTGCTGTGCTGAGGAATTCCTTCCACCCCCGGTCAGCTCAGACTCTCCAAAAGCTGCAGACTGGAACAGCTAAGGAACCCAAACAGCAAAGATGATGGCCTGCCGCTCCTCCTGGGAGCTCCTTATTTGGGAGGTACAATGTCGCTACTGGTGGCTGGCTGGAATCCCAAGCCAGTGGGTCTTATCTCATGATGTGCCCTGGAAGTGGAGCCTGCAGGCTGTTGCTGCTCAGCCGCTTGGATTCAGCCTCTTTCTTAGGGGTATATATAGAAGTCTAACAACCCACTTTGCTGGAACTGCAGCCACTTTTGCCAGAAAGCCTGAGTATCTAAGGCTCCATGGTCTCCCCGCATGACTGAGCAGCTGCTCTGCCAAGATTCCACATAGCTCTTTCTGTCAGAATGAAGGCCCTGGTGAAGTGGGTTCACAAGGTCTCCCGACCTGAGGGTGCAAGGATCTATGGAGAATGCATGGTTTCATGAAAGGTTTCATGAAAGCTTTCAAGAAAGCAGTTTAATCCAGGGGGCTGAGCAGCAACAGCCTGCAGGCTCCACTTCCAGGGCACGTCACGAGATAAGGGTCACTCACTCATTCACTCACTGCTTCCTTGGGCAAGGGAGGTTCCCCTGGCTCCGTGTTGCTCCTTGGTAGGCTGTTGTTCTGTCTTGCTTTTCTTCATTCTTCGTGGGTCAAGTTGTTTTTTGATTAGTCTCAATGCAAGTACCTGGACGTTTCAGTTGAATGTGTTGTATTTATTCACCTCTTCCATTCCTGTCTGTGCAAGCCACTCACACTGGCTGCTTCTAGTCAGCCACTTTGGCCACTCTTCTTGCCCACTTTTAAATTGGGTTTTTGGTTTTTTTTTGTTTTTTTTTTTTTTTTTTTTTGCTGTTATTTAAGTGCCTTATATATTCTGGATACTAACTCCTTGTCAGGTGTATAGTTTGCACATATTTTTCCTTCTGCCGATTGTCTCTTCAGTTGTTAATTGTTTCCTTTGCTAGGCAAAAGTTGTTTAGTCCGATATAATCCCATGTGTCTATTTTTGCATGTGTTGCCTGTGCCTTTGAGGTCTTAGGTCTTATTTTAAAAACCCTTGCCCAGACCAATGTCATGAAGCAATTCTCTTATGTTTTCTTCTAGTAGCTTCGCAGTTTCAGGTCTTACATTTAAGTCTTTAATCTATTTTGAGTTGATTTTCTTATATGGTGGGAGGTAGGCATCTAGTATCAGTCTTCTGTGTGTGTATATCCAATTCTCCCAGCATCATTATTAAAGAGACTGTCTTCTCCCCAATGTGTGTTTTTGGCACCTTTGTTGAAAATCAAGTGGCTATGGGTGTATGAATTTGTTTGGGGGCTCTCTATTCTATTCCATTTATTTATGTGTTTGTGTTTAATGCAAATACCATACTGTTTTGGTTACTATACCTTTGGAATATATGTTGAAGTCAGGTATTGTGATGCCTCCAGCTTTGTTTTTTTTTGCTTAGCATTGCTTTTGCTATTCAAGGTCTTTTGTGGTTCCATATTAATTTTAAATTTTTTTTCTATTTCTGTGAAAAATGTCTTTGGTTTATTGATAGGGATTGCATTAAATCTGTAGATCGCTTTAGGTAGTATTGCTGTTTTAGCAATATTATTTTTTTCAATCCACAAAGACAAGATGTCACTGTTTTTGTTAGTAATGACAAGGTGTTGCTTTTTATGTCCTAGAGGGAAAATTTCAGTGTAGTCTTATAAATCAGTCCTTGCAAATGAGATTCATGTTGGGGGAAGGGTTAGGCTCTAATATGAATATATAAGGTGAAAAACGCAAAGAGTAAAAATTTGGTATGAAAATTTCTTAAGAAAGTAGGGACATGGAAGAAGCTGGAAACCATCATTCTCAGCAAACTATCGCAAGGACAAAAAACCAAACACTGCATGTTCTCACTCGTAGGTGGGAATTGAACAATAAGAACACATGGACACAAGAAGGGGAACATCACACACCGGGGACTGTTGTGGGGTGGGGTAGGGGGGAGGGATAGCATTAGGAGATATACCTAATGCAAAATGACGAGTTAATGGGTGCAGCACACTAACATGGCACATGTATACCTATGTAACAAACCTGCACGTTGTGCACATGTACCCTAAAACTTAAAATATAATAATTATAAAATAAAATAAAAATAAAAATAAAAGAAAGTACAATTTTTAGGGACTAACATCTTGTGGGTCTAAATATGTCAAATATTTCCAGGATATCTACCAATATTGGAGTGATTGATATTGGTTTACTTCCAGGGACCTTGTTATAACCCAAAATTGGAAGTTTAAACAGCAGAATCAAATTCGCAGCAAAGAGTCACTAACTCAGAAAAGCACTTCAAAATGTAGACTGAGGTAACAACAGATCCACATCTCTGCACTGTGTTTACAAACTTTTTGAAAACAATGTAACATTTTTTAAAAGTTTTCCCTCTGAATGCATAAAGTTGAATTCAGAAAACTTATTTACGCATGGCAGATTTTCAACAAATATTTATTTTGTGGACCTAACTAAAGACATTGCTTTAAAAATCTGTCACCACATCTTAAAATTACTACTGTGTTTTAAGGAGTCACAATATTAAGTAATTATAACTTTCAAATATGTATAATATTTGAGAGCAACTTTTTTCAGAAAAATTTAAATTATAATGAGAATTTCAGCTTTTACATTTTTTTAATTTTCCTTTGTTCCTCACTCATATGTGTGTCCAACACTGCAAATAAAAACATGATGTTAGTGAGCATTACTTGGTTGAATCAATTATTATAAAATTATATAGCCAGGTATATTTTCTAAATTTAAAAATTTTGTTCTTCCTCTGCTAAGATCAATACAATAGTTTTTGTTTGTTTGTTTGTTTGTTTCCTGATACAGTTCTTTCTCCACAAAGGAAAAGTAGTCCATATAAAACAATAGCATTGAGTTGCTATTGTCAGAGAAGGGGTAAATTATCAGGTGACTAGAGCTTATCTCTAGCATTACAAAAGCTCTTTTTAAACTTTCAGCCATTCTGCTGAGGCCATTATGATATTTGCAACATACATCCTTGCTTTATTTAACTGATTGCTCATGACCTTGGGTTTGCAGGGCCAATCTTATATAAACTCTATTTTATTCTTAGAACTATCTTTCTAATTTAGGAAGTTTCCATTAGCCAAATCACAATGCTTCTGACAATGTCACATGCATGTCTCAGGATTTCCTCAGGGGTGAATAATTGGCACAGTTTGCATAACATAGAATTCCCGTAAAATAAGATAAAATGTCATTATTAAAATATTAATATCTACTAAATAAAGTGACAGTCAAATTAATGGTTTAAGCAATATAAATCAAGATTTAAGGAAACAAAACTATGTAGGTTTAAGTCATTAAATTGATTTTACAAATTACTCATGTAGACTTTTATATACAACATATAAACTCTTTAATTTATATTTAATATATGAACAATATGTTATAAATAACTTTCTAGGTATCCTTATGTTACTTTAGAAAGATAGTTGCCAAACATTGCATGATAGTAATAAAGCATAATGTATCTGATTATTCCACTGTTGTTGGGCATCTAGACCATTTACTGTTGCTTCATTTAAATGTTTCATTTTAATATCACAATTAATATTCTCATACATATCTCCTTATCTACTAGTACTTTTTATTATAATTATAGTATTCCCCTTATCACCACCACCAACAACAACCAAACACAGTGGGACATGGAGTAAAAAGCAAAAGAGACAAGAACCTTCAAACTCCCTTCAGAGACCTGCCACTCCTGGACAGGTCCGTGCCTCCGGGAGGTAACTGCCACTATCACTTTGATGTTTATAGACTTTTATCTAAGTATTTGTAGCAGAGGATATCTTTACACAGCAATATTAGTGAATATGCCTGAATATTTCTCAGGAATGTGTTCTCTTGAGTCTCTAGGTCAAGGGATCAGTATAATTTAAATAAACATTCTTTCACAAAATAAAAAATGCTGTTCCAACTTAAAGAATTAATCAGCAAAAAACTAGAAAAGGATCTGTTTTTCCCATGATCTTGCTGACATTGAATATCTATTCTTTACTTTGTCAAGTAGCTCTCTTCCCTCTGCTACCACTATCATCCAAAAAAGAAAAAAAACAATAACACCCATATACCACTCGATTTGCATTTCCCCATTAAAAATGAAACTGCCTTTTATTTGCATTTCTCCATTAAAAGAGAAATCCCATTAAAAGTAAAACTGGCTTTTCATAAGTTTCTTTGTTACTAGAATTTCTGTATTGGTGAATTACTTTTTATAGTCTTAGACCATTTTTATATGATGTTGCTGTGTTATTTATATTGATGCATAGACATTATTTGTATGTATGGATATTAATCCATTACCTCTTATACCCATTGCAAATAATTTCTTCCACTCACTTTTATGTCTTTAACCTTAAACTGAAATTTCATTTTTAATAATTTTCTTCATCTTCTTAATCTCATTTAATAATGTTGCCCCTAGGGCAAGATTATAAAAATATTTTCTTATATTTGATTCTACTTTTGATTTTGCAATTGTCTCTAGTTTATACAGATGTTTCATATGTGTATGGTGTGAGATAATAGTCTAATTCCGTTTTTTCCCAGATAAATTTCAGTGTCAGCTTTTTACATTCCATGAAAAGACTCTGTTGGGATTAGGGTTGGTATTGCATTGCATTTAATGATTATTTTAGGGAGAATTGCCATCCTTACACCATATATCGTCCTCATTCCCACCCCTACCATAGTTTGGCCCTTTGTAAATGACAACTTTGCCTTCTATTTGCTGAGGATAAATATCATCATGTTCATCCCTGATTAGTCCTTGTTTTGCCTACACCATATCCAAACCATCAGTAACTTCTCTTAGCCCTCTTTTAAAATCCATCCAAAGTCTGACCATTTCTCAGAAAGTTCCCTCCCACCCTGCATCCTGAAGAACCTTGCTGCTTTCACTATTAAAAAACCAAACACCGCATGTTCTCACTCATAGGTGGGAACTGAACGATGAGAACACTTGGACACAGGAAGGGGAACATCACACACCGGGGCCTGTTGTAGGGTGGAGGTAGCGGGGATGGATAGCATTAGGAGATATACCTAACGTTAAATGACGAGTTAATGGGTGCAGCACACCAACAGGGCACATGTATACATATGTAACTAACCTGCACGTTGTGCACATGTACCCTAAAACTTAAAGTATAATTTAAAAAAAAGAATGTTAAATAAATAAATAAATAAAAATAAATTCCTTCTTTGAGTCATTCCTCAGTTTAGTTACCAGCATGGCCCTCTTAAAATGCAAGTGGACTGCCTCCTCTACTGGCAGTCCATCAGTGAGTGACTTCCCATTCCTCAGGCAGAGAAGCCAAGGGCCCAGAGTCTTTCCAGGGCTCTACAGCCCCACAGGTCACCTTCCTCCCCTGCCCATTCACAAGCTCATTGTTCTCTGATGCACAACTCACCAGACACTTGCCTGCCCTGCACACTCTTCCTCTTGAAAGCTAATGATCTAAAATACGTCCTCCCTCATGAGTACCTTGATGAACATTCTATTAATATTTAAATGGCATTCCCACCCTACGCATCCAGAACCCCCAATCCATTTTTACAGCATTATTTTTCTTCCAAAATACTCATCATCATGTGACATACTATGTATTTTTACTTCTGTGTTTAATGTCTGTCAGTCCCTTATTGCAGGAATTACTTTTTCTTGTGTTGTCTTCAGTATGTACTAAAATGTCTAGTTTATAGTATGAGCTTAATAAATATTTGTTGAATAAACAAATATTGAGTATTTATATTCAGAAACATACTATGTCTCTTAATTTTGTCACCTTAATTTTGGTCTTTCAACTAAGTTTTTAAAGTTGTTATGTAGGTTTCCATGCTTCTATGTGAAAAGGATGCGTTTTCTATCATATTTTAAATTGGTTATTAGTATAGAAAAGCTATTGGTTTCTGAATATTGACCTTTGATTCAGCCATCTTGCTGAAAATTTTCAGTATTTCCTTTTCCAATTTCTTGATAGACCATAGATTTTCTGCAAACAATGCCAATTTTTCTTTTTTCCAGCATTATTATTCCTTCCTTTTTTGCACCTTCCATTAAAATAGTGACAGTGGGCAGCTTTTCTTATTCCAGGCTCAAACAGGAATGACTGATGTTCTACTGTAAATATGATGTTTCCCATAGCTTTCTAGTAGACAATCTTCATGAAGTTAAGGAAATTACCTTTTATAAGATTTAGTAAGTATTTTATCAGAAATGCTAGAGTTCGATTAATTGTTTTTTTGGCGTCAGTTAAGATAATCACGTTTTAGCTTTATTTTTCAATAAATAATTAATTCTCATAAATCAGTGTCCTAATGTTAAACCATTTATGTATTCCTTGGATAAATGCTAGTTGGTCATTGATATAGTTTGGCTCTGTGTCCCTACTCCAATATCATGTTGAATTGTAATTCCCAGTATTGGAGGAGGAGCCTGGTGGGAAGTGATTGAATCAAGGGGGCGGACTTACCCTTTGCTATTCTCATGATTGAGTTCTCACAAGATCTGGTTGCTTGACAGCATGTAGCACCTCCCCATTCTCTCTCTTTCTCCTACCAGCCAAGTGAATATGTGACTGCTTCCCCTTCATCTTCTACCACGATTGCAAGTTTCTTGAGTCCTCCCCAGCCATACTTTCTATACAGCCTGCAGAACTGTGAGTCAATTAAACCTCTTTTTTCATAAATTACCCAGTCTCAGGAATGTCTTTATAGCAGTGTGAGAACAGACTAATACAATTATAAGGTATTATTCTGAAGTATTATTCTTTTTTTAAATTTTTTTTGTATAGTTGATGCATGTGTATGTACAGATTACAGTTACATTATGAAGCATTGTAATAAAATCAATAGGCTGGGTGTGCTGGCTCACACCTATAATCCTAGCACTTTGGGAGGCCAAGGTGGGAGGATCACCTGAGGTCAGGAGTTCAAGACCATCCTGGCCAGCAAGGGAAAACCCTGTCTCTACTGGAAATACAAAAACTAGCTGGACATGGTGGCATGTGCCTGTAATCCCAGCTACTCGGGAGGCTGAGGTAGGAGAATCACTAGAGCCTGGGAGGCAGAGGTTGCAGTGAGCCGAGATCTGGCACTGCACTCCAGCCTGGGAGACAGAGCAAAACTCCATTTCAAAAAAATTAAATTAAATTAAATTAATAATAAAAATCCTACATAAGAAGAACTAACAAATACCATTGCTATCATCTCCTATCATCTTCCTGATTCCCCAACTGTTCTGAATTCTGTAATTGTCACTCCTTTCTTTGTTTGTTGATAGTCTCATGCACACACAAACACACACGCGCGCACACACACACACACACACAATTACTTAACGTCTCAATATAAACAATAAACAAACCCTTCAGGGTTTTTAGATTTTCTTGTCTATTTTTATAGGACCCAGTTCAACATGGATGAAGGTCTTTGAGGATCCCAAGGGAAGAAAATACATAAGACCAAGGGGAAACCATATTATTCCGTGGTAAAGCATGCCTATTTCATTTTAATTATCTCTTTTAAATATTTTCATAGATAGTCAATGATCTAGAATGGAGGAAGTTGCTATTTATTATTCAGAGGTGGGTAGTTCAAAATGGAATCTTAGCCAGTTTTCTTTCTTCTCTCTCTCTTTGATCTGTGAATTGGTTCCAATCTTGCTTGTGTCGAGAGGCAAAACTATGGCTCCCTGCCAATTCTTTTATCTGTGTACCCTGGCAAAGGTCTTAAAAATGAACCCTAGGATGTTGTATAGACACTATATGAGCTCCACATGTGTCAGCATGGAAAGAATACTGTTCTAAGATATTTAAAAGTCACCACAGATGTTCCTTTCAGAGGCAGACCAAACTGAAGTTAAAAAAAATAAGCATACTTACAAGAATTAGAGAAAAATCCAGATAATTACTGAACAATCTGTCAGTGGTCTGGAAGCCAAGTCTTGCAGAATACTATATAATAAAATTATTTGATTGTTGAATTTAATTGAAGAGGAGAGTTTATGTAATTTAATATATTTTAATATGTATCTGCTTTCATATGGCAAAAGGAACATACTCCAATTCTTTGATTAGCAAGGATCAATTCAACTGGAGGAAATTTAAAAAACAAACAGGTTTTTTTGGTTGTTGTTTTGTTATATTTAATTTGATTTAGTTTTTTGTTTTTGTTTTTGTTTTTGGTGGGGGGATTGTGACAGTGACTGTTCAACTTTGAAAACTTACATAAAATTGATGGTATATTGAAATTTATGAATTTATGGTACATAAACTATATCTCAATAAAGCTCTTAGAGGAAAAAATTGTTATATTTCACAACATACAATGCCACAATTACATACTTGGCAAAGTTTTCAATCTCTCACCAATAAAATTTAAATGCACAAGAGACAACTTAAAAAACTTTTAGTAAAACAGTATATTTGTTGGCAAAGTTCACAGTGAAAACTGAGCTTGATTCTAGCACTTAGCCAGCAGTGTGGGGATAAGTGTTGCTTGGGGAATTTACTGTTCAACTACTCTGTGGGACTGCAGATTACTTGTCAGTTTTTGCCAGTTCAGCACAATTCCTTACTTCTTTGAAGTCCTACTCAGCAATAATTCACAAGGTGCTGACATGGAGTATCAACTCAAAGATAGAAAATGACTAAACTGCAGTTAAAACTACTTGACAATGCAGCTCAGAGCATAGAAAAATAATTTTAGGTATTTTATATGTGTGGAGATTTGTGTATATTTGGGCAAAAAAATATCAAAACAGTAACTGAGTGTTGGCTGGACAGTTAGCCTGTTAACTGTGCAACTAAACAATATTCCCAAAGGAGGCAAAGGTGAATGACAGAAGGGTGGGAATTTAGAAAGACTATTGAAATGACAAAATTGGACAAAAGAATTGCTGATGACTGGAATGGGTTTCAACACACAAAAATATATGATTCTACCTTCAACTTAATATGAAAACAAAACAACAAAACATGATTCTGGGTAAGACATTAATTCATGTCTTACTCAACGTTAGTAAATGGTTAAAGAACCTAATGCCTGGAATCCTCTTTCAGGGTGGAAAGGCCTCCTAAATAAACCACTCCTTGTTGGATGCCTTCTGCAATCTTCCTGACAAATGATGACTCTCCCTCTTTTTATTTGTGGTTCTTACCTCCCAGCATTCATTTTGGTATTGGGAACCAGCCCTTTCCACACATGGGAATAGCAATCCCTGGAGCTGTGCAGTGCACAACTGCACACATGGCTCTCACTGACCTTGCATAAGACAAAGTGAACTATATGATGCAAACTGTACCAATCAGATGCCTGTGCTTAACTTGGAATCAGAAACTGAGTTGAGAAAGACATTCAACCCAAAGGTGACATTCTGAAAAGATACCCCATTCGTTTTTTTTCTAGCTAGGTCCCAGAAGCTGCCCTGGTTTCTGTTGAGACCTAGTTCTTTAGCTTTTTTTTTTTTTTTTTTTTTTTTTGGTATTCTGGGGTACTTGAAATCCAACCTATATATATTTTCAGAGACTGTTTCTATTAATGGCAATCTAAGAACCATGCCTGATGCAGTGCCTGTCCTATGATGGGAACTCACCCATTCTCCATGAACCTTGTTCTTTGAACAATTCTGCATATAAAGTACTGCTCCATCATACTGAGCTGACATTTGTCTTCCAAAGACTCCTAACCCATGGCTCTAACTCTGTTTCCTGAGGCTATCAATGAAATTGACTCCTTTTCCATGTAATAGATCTCTAAATTTTTAAAGACTGGTTCAATGTTCACTCTGCCCAAATTTGGTTAAATCTCCCATTTCTCCAGCTGCTCCTTTGTTAGCATGTTGAATCCTCTGTAGATATTCCTTTCAGGCTCCTTCACTTTGCCTGAATGAAATGTATAATCCATGGCCCCCAAATATAGCCTAAAACTTAACAAGCACCTTGCTAGGTATATTCTTAGTTGTAATTGATGCTCAGTTGAATGAATGTGGATATTTCAAAAGGTGTCTCAGCATCCCACCTGGGAACGCAGCACAAATCAATAAGGAGCTATGGACACGTTTATGGGAGTTTGGATTTTTTGTCAGTAAGACTCCAGAAAACTACTTTGTACAGAACAGACAATTTATAATTAGGCCTTCTCCTTATCAACCTGAAGTGGTTACTTCTGCATTAATTCACTTTACAGGTTAGTTTGTGGGCAATAATTTCCTTACAATGAAGAATGTTCGCTTGAGAAACAGGGCCCCTTGTTTACGTTAGCTGAGATTCCTGGCTGACCGCATACTTTCTAGACTAAGATCCTCCACTTTTACGATTCTTCATGACAGTTAAGATGGTAAATATATTCAGCTCAAGGCTCCCAAGTCCGAGATGTGAGACAGTGGACACAATGACTCAGGGGTGATACAATGACTCAAGGGATGATACAGTGACTCCTCCAACACACACCCCAGACATCTTGACTTCCTGCAGCCAGAAAGACTTTACAAGCTTCAGGGTGGGTGGGTGGGTGGCCTCGCCTCTGAAGTCGACTAAACTCAGGTAGTTTCTGCCATCCTGTGCATTTTATATCTGTTGATTTAAGTTAATGTTTTAGCCTATGTGCGTATGTACTAAGGGAGTTGCAAAAGTCCATAGTTGTACAAGTCAAGTCAATAGTCATGGTAAATACCAATAAAACCAAAATATCACACTGGGAAAAATGAATCAACATGTACTCTGTGGAGATTCTCTTTGTGAATTGAAATAAAAAACTTTTCCACATTACTGGTTTGTAATACATTTATTCAAGGGGTCTCCACCTGTTGCAGTCTACACAGGATAGTATGTTTTGCCAGTGGTCGCTACTGTGCTCCCACTTCCTACCCATCTGTGTCAGTCCACAGCAAGCCCACAGCCCTGATTTAACTTAGGACTTGGGGCCAAAATTCTGGGCCTGTGGATGCAGGCAGGCTGAGCCTTCTGTACCTCTAAAAGAGTGATTCTGTCTCCTCTTCCCTGGACCATCCCATCTCTCTCGAAGGCTCCAGGAACACCAGGACTGCAACACAGCAAGCCCCTGGCTCAGGGAAAGACTTGGAAGATAATGGCCATTAACTGCTTCCCAAAGCCACGTTTCCCTTTGCAGCAGCCTTTTTGTGAATACGAGTCCTTAGTTACGTAAGGCAGGCCCAGCCTCTTCCACAAAAGACAAAACCCGCCCTGTGTTTCTGGAGCATAGGAATGAGATAATAAATAGAAAGAACTCAGGATTGGTATTCAGGACTTTTGAGCTCTATCCTGAGAGGTACAAACATGTAGGAGTGTAACCTTGGACAAAATATGAAATGTTGCCAGGCCTGAGGTTTTTCATCAATAAAACACAGAATACAGACTAAGTGACCCCTAGTGCCTTAGATTCATATGCTATGATCCTCTAGCTTCTTTCCAAGGAATGAAGAGAAAGTGGAATTGCATCTGCTTCTCTATGCCCAGGCATTCATTATTACAACACTAATCATTTGTAATAGGGTTTCATTGTTATTAAAACACTGATAGTTTCAAAGACTTACAAAAGGGAGGTTTTTTCTTCCTATATGTGTTTGAGAACTATCGTTTCATAAAATCACAAATCTATTTTGTGGAGGCTTTGTCACTTGACTAGGCTGGACTACTGTTTGCAGAACTCCCTTCTTTGTGTGTTTCTGGTTCTGTTGGGTCACGAGAGACCTTCCTTGCAAGATCTGGTGGCAGAAGTGAGACAGCAGCCATTTGGTACATGATGCGTATTACCTTATCTGATGGCTACCTCATTGGCCTGGGGCAACAGATGGAACTGAAACTGTGACACCTCTCCCTGAATCCTCCCTCAGTTTCTCTCACTCCCTGGCCCGATGTGTATTTGGCTCTATGATAAAGGGTTTAACTTGTCCTGTAGGACCCCAACCATCAAGGTCAGAAGCAATCTGATGGACTTCAGCACATTCTCATGGATTTCAGTTTCTCCCTGCTGTCCTCCGCTTCACACCACCTTCCATCCCATCTGCCTGTGCTGTAGACTTCAAGGTCTGGCACCAGCTACAAAGGCTAAAGGCTTACAGAGCCTGCTCAACCAATTCCCATAATCTATGAAGTTCAAGTTCCTGTAACAAGTTCCTTTTTACATGCGCATATGCCTCCTAATGATTCTGCTTTTCTTATTGAATGCTGACAGATACACACTTCTTTAAATAACTTTTAAAGGAAATGTTACCTTATCTGTCCCTTTTTAAAACATTTGACATATATTAGACTGGTAGGAATCTTAGGAAGAGGTCATGAACATAAACCCCTTCATGTTAAGTATGAAGAAACTGAAGATCAAGTTTGTAAATTACATCTGGAGCCAAAGCAGGGCTAGAAGGCAAGATTTCTGACTCCATCCCTGTGCGCTCTACCACAGATGCCTTGACATAAGGAAATTCAGAGTTCAGTAGAACATATTCTAACGTGACTTAAAGTCACTTTGCCTCTTTACATGCATTTAAGCACTTCTGAGACCATCGGTGTTCACAAGTATTGTACCCAATTCTAGAGGGCAATTAGTGACACAGTGTAGTCTTCAAAGTGTGGACGAGAAACATTCAGTATCTCCTAAAATACATTACTCACTTATTCCCTGAAGAAAAGTTTATTAACCATCTGGCATGTGCAGATATTGTCCTACCTGTGAGGAACACAGAGATGGACACTCTGGACAAGGTTCCTGGCCTCATGGATTCTTGGGGAAGATGAAACTACACAAGTAAAAACTATATATTTCATAGGCAGGTCGCGGTGGCTTACGCCTGAATCCCAGCACTCTGGGAGGCCGAGGTGGGTGGATCATGAGGTCAGGAGATTGAGACCATCCTGGCTAACACGGTGAAACCCTGTCTCTACTAAAAATACAAAAGAAAACCAAAAAAAATTAGCAGGACGTAGTGGCAGGCACCTGTGGTCCCAGCTACTCAGGAGGCTGAGGCAGGAGAATGGTGTGAACCCGGGAGGCGGAGCTTGCAGTGAGCCACTGCACTCCAGCCTGGGCGACAGAGGGAGACTCTGTCTTAAAAACAAAACAAAAGAAAACAAAAAACCAACTATATATTTCATATGGAGATCATGTTCACTAAGAAAAATAAAAATGGTGAGGGTATAGAAGGTATTCTAGGTGGAGTTTTTAGATAAAAGGTCCAGGAAGGCCTATTTTAGGAACTGACATTTGAATAGGAATTTTGGTGAAGTAAGGGAGTGGGGACCATGGATTTCTGGAATAAGACAGTTCTGTTCAGAAAGAATCACAAATGCAAACCCCTCAAAGAGCTTCTTATGTGCAATGTCTAAATTGATCACAAGGGAGAATGACAGATTAGCTCTTTTCAGGTGAGACTCTTGGATTTGACTATTTTTTTAAGGTGGGGTCTCACTCTGTCACCCAGGTTGGAGTGCAGTGGCACAATCTCAGCTCACTGCAACCTCCACCTCCCGGGCTCAAGCAATTCTCCCACCTCAGTCTCCCAAATAGCTGGCACCACAGGCAAACACCACCACGCCTGGATAGTTTTGTATTTTTGTAGAGATGGGGCGTTGCCATGTTGCCCAGGCTGGTCTCGAACTCCTGAGGTCAAACAATCCTCCCACCTCAGCCTCCCAAAGTGCTGAAATTACAGGCATGAGCCATTGCACGTGGCCACTGGATTTGACTTTGATTGTTATAGAAAATCCTTAAAGAGTTTTGAGAAGAAGAATAAAATGATCTAATTTTAGTGTTAAAAAGCTCACTCCAGCCGCTGTATATATAAAAAAAAATCTTTAGGGGACAAGCGGAAAAGGAGAAAGAACTCTTTGATGGTGCCTTGGACTGGAGTTTTAGCTGTGAAGAAAGTGAGATGTATTTTGGATCCAGAATATATCTTTAAGACACAGCAGAAGAACTGAAAGATGGATTGTGTGGGAAAGTGAGAGAAAGAGAGCAATCCAGGGTGACTCCCAGGTTTTTGGCCTGAGCAACTGATTGCCTAGCAGTATAATTTACTGAGATGGGGAACAGGTCAGGGTGTCGAGGAAAATCAAGAGCTCTATTATTGAACGTGTTAAGATTGTGATGCCTTTCAGACATCCAAATGGAGATGTCAGATCAGTGGTAGGTTGTACTCATGGAGCAGAGCCACATTCGCAGCATCTTCAGATGTGAACATAGTGTTTTAGTGTCTGCATTTTGTGGATACATTGATCTGAGCCCATAAAGCAATGTTTGCCATGGGGCTGTATATCAAATAGAGGCTAAAGACTTAAATCAGCTTAGAAAAAAATTGGCAGGCCACCAGTGTTTGATTGGTTTTCCTCTTTTTATCTACATGCAGTATACATGGAACAAAATTAATGAAATCATCAGAATAAATTTTGTGTTATCCTGGGAAGTGAATACAAATACCCTTCCCCTCCTTTATGTGTATCTGATACTTGCAAGTCTTTAAGGATAAATTCAAGTGTCACATAAGATGTCCGGTATTACCTTCCCCAGAAAGATCTTTCCTACTTTGATCTCTTTGTTCACATCTCCCCTAGTGCTTCCAGTCAGTACTGTATCACTCAGCACATCATTATTCTCTAATGGCTTCATTTACCTCCTGTTCCACTGAATTATAACCTGCAGGCAGGTGTGCCATATATCTAGATTTTTCATATCACCCACAGACTGAGAAAGTAGACCAAGGCAAAGACTGAGGAAGTATTCACCAAATCTATTTCTTTTTCCCCTTGGACACACAGTCAGTTCCAGGCTTCCTTGCAGTCTCCTTCCTTGCAAGGAAAAGTGGGTGGAAGTCAAGTACAACATTTACAGGCCTGCCCCACGAGACTCTGCCAAATGGTCACCTTCTTTCTCTTTTTCTGTCTTCTGGCCCAATGCTGATGTCCAGGAAGACACTTGGTGAGGATGGCAGATTTTCTTGTCACCCTGGGTCCCTGAATGATTGTATGGAGCAGCGTCTAAGGCAGCAATTGGACTCATCATCAGTGAGAAATACATTCTCCTAAGTTAATCCACTAAAATTTGGGGATGTATCTGTTGCAGCAACTAGCACTTACTTTAACTAGTATCTTGTGCCTAAGACAGGCTTACAAAACTTTTATTTGGAGGCTGGTAGAACTTGTGAAAAGGCTGTTAGAACCTGTGAACATAATGGCTATTTTAGCTAGGCAGGTAAAGTCACTTGCTGTATTAGGCTGTTTTGGCATTGCTATAAAGAAATACCTGAAACTGGGTAATTCATTTTAAAAAGAGGTTTAATTGGTCATACAGGAAGCATGGCTCTGATATCTGCTTGGCTTGTAGGGAGGCCTCAGGCAGCTTTTACTCATGAGAGAAGGTGAAGCAGGAGCAGGCACATCACATGGTGAAAGCAGGAGCAAGAGAGAAAGAATTGCAGGGAAGGTACCACACACTTTTGAATGACAAGCTCTCATGAGAACTCACTATCACAATGGCAGCTCCAAGCTATGAAGGATCTGCCCCCATGGTCCAAATACCTACCACCAGGCCCCAACTCCAGCTTGGGGGATTACAATTCAGCATGAGATTCGCCTTGGGACAAATATCCAAATTGGATCACTTGCTCAGGTCATTTAGTTAGTAAGTGGTATACCCAGGGCTGTGTAATGTCAGAACCTATGTCTTAACCATTACCTTGTACTGCATCTCCAATACCACTGGTGTGGCAATAAGAACATTATTACAACTTTAGGCAGTGACAGAAGTAATGGAAACCGAAAACAACAACAACAACAACAATTTCCCATGTAAATTTCAGCAAACTAATGAGGAGGCTAGGAAGCGGTTTTGGATGAGCTATGCAGAGCAGAAGAGGCAGAAAACCAGAGACAAATGGATGGAACGGTAATGCCTCTTCTTCTGAACACTGTAGCACACATGATTAACTGCTGTTGGCTGTAAACAGATCACTGCATTCTGATTAATTGTCAGGCAGACCGCGCTCATCAGGAGACATAGAGCAAGGCCTCCAACATTTCATTCCAAATGTCTTACACAAGATGAAACCCCCCCACGTAATTGAAGACTGGGAAGAAAAATGCAAGAAATAAGCTAATAGACAAGCAGCAAAACTTCTGGAAATCAAAGGAGAATCAAACCAAAAAGTACTTCTCAGGAATAATACATTTAAATGAATGTGTATGTACACATATCACAACAATTCCATGTCAATTAGCTTCACCAAGATTTCAAATATATATATTTCAACTTAAAAAGCAAATAGGATAAACTACCTCAAACCAGCAAAATTTAATCTAGAAACTCGGCCTCTTATAAATGCCATGCTACTTATAAATTAGGTTGTATTTATGCATTCTAAATACAATGCAATGCCTAATATGAGAATGATATGGATAAAGAAAAAGCTGTGTCTTCATGGGTTTGGTCCTATGAGTCTCCCCTTGCATTATTCAAATAAAACTTTACTAAATAGATTGAAGACATCTCCAGTCCAGACCATCTGACTTACAAATTTAGGTCACGGTACACAGGAGGGACTGAATAAAAGATTCTGTATCACTTATCAATTCCTTTGGCCATGCAAAAATAACTCTGATTTATAAACATGAGAACAGTAACTATTTATATTTCATGTTAAAAGTTTTTAAATCATTTTCATATCCATTATGTAATTTGACCTCACCAATACAGATGTTAGTTCTTTGCAACTATTATATTTATATTTGACAGAGGAGAAAAAACAACTCTGAGAGTTTAAATTGCTTCCCAGAGGCCACACAGTTTTTGAACCCAGGTCATAGAACTGAAACCCAGTGATGTTTTCCATTAAGCTTCCTCTTCCATAACTTACATTCTAAAGCAAGTAGCATTTACAGGGCGCTGAGGCAAGTAGGGCAGATAGTGTAGTCCCAAATTACAATTGAGGAAACTGAGGGTCTCAAAGTGAAATGACTTGCCTGTGAATCCCTAATTAATTTGTAAGTGAAAATAACAAGGTTCAACTCAAGGAGTCTTGAGGTCAAGTTCAGTTGTCTCTCCCTGGTAGCATATTATGAATCAAATGTTTGTGTACCCACAAAATGTATTTGTTCAAATTTTCACCCCCAATATGATGGTAGTAGGAGGTGGTACCTTTAGGAGGTAATTAGATTATGAGGGAGGAGCCTTCAAGAACAGGATTCATTCCCTTAAATAAGAGAATTCAGAGAGCTCCTTTGCTCTCTGCAACGTGTGAGGATACAGGGAATAGACGATCATCTGCAACCCTGAAGACAGCCCTCACCAGAAGCTGACCCTGGTGGCACCCTGATCCCGAGCTTCCAGAACTGGAAGAAAATAGATTCCTGTTTTTTATCAGCCACCCACTCCATGGTGCTTTGTTATAGCAGCCCAATCTAAGATGTTGTGCTATCACTGTGGGCCACGGGTAAAGTCTCATTCACAAAAGACCCAAGCTTTGGAATTGGAACCAGGTTTACATTCCAGCCGCACTGTGTGCCTGGAGCCTGGTAGTTGAACCCTTGCAAGGTCAGTGGCCCCATTTGCCTCCTGCAGCTCTTCAAGCTCTATGTGATAAACCTGAACGTATGATTCACTGCAGCTCCTCCTGACATGATGCTATTTTAATTATGGCTTTCTTTGCTGTGGGTACCCAGACCCACCATGTTAAGGAAACCAGAAATGGACTCTGATCTGATATAGCCAACCCATCACCAGGTCTACCTCATGCCCTGGCTGCTTCTCCAATTCCTGTAGCCTCCACACTTGTCTCAACTCTGCAAAGAAACCAGTCTTATCAGATCATGTCACATCTCCACCCAAAATCCTGCAATGGTTTCACATTGCTCTGGCAAAAACCAAAGTCTCCTACATAGTCCTGTATGACCTGGACTCAGTCTCCTCCCCAGGGTCGCCTCAAGGTCCTCCCCTGTCCTCTGCACTGGGCCAGGTGCCAAGAGCCTTATGTGCATTATCTCGCTGAACACTCAAAACTTCCACCAACCCATGCAGGAGTATTACACAGGCTTCGCACTAAGCCACTCTGCACTCTATTGTTTCTTACGCATAATAGGTCAAATAAATATATTTTTGAAATATGGGGCTTAATTTCTTAGCCTGGGCTCTTATTATTGTAAAGACATATACTATTAAAAACAATTATTAAACTATAGACTTGCTGAACCTAGCTCAGCAGTATAAAACAGGACTTTTGACATCCAACCACATTTGCAGAACAGCTTTTTAAAAGCTTATTTGCTAATGGTTGTCAGAAAGACAGATATTTGGCCACAATTTTCTAAATTAAAATTTGACCAAGAATTTGACTTATGAATTGTTCTTCATTCAGTAGAGATTCTAATTTGTGTTCATCAGTGACATGTTTATATGTGTATCTGCATACGTGTCCCCTGATATTAAGAAACTTAGCACAACTTAGTAAAGCTGTCTCCTTAACCTTCTGTTAGCCTCTCCATTCTTCAGTGTGGAGATGCAGTTGAGAAATGACTACTTGTATACTTTTAGAAGACTTTCAAACATATAAGAAGTTTGGTATTGTAGAGCTTACACTTTATGGAGTAATCGAATTGGTGATATTAAAATTTCCATTGGTCCTGCTGAGGGTAAACCTTCAGCCCAAGTACTTATGTTGTCAGCTAAGGCAACTAATAATTTCTTTTTAAGATTCCGGGAGCTCAAAGAGGAAGGGAGGAAAAGTTGAAGAATGTATATGGTAGGAGTTAGGTAATCCAATCCTAGTTACTTTAAAGTATGAAAAATTTATGACTTACTTTAGGGGAAAGCAAATTGAATGCTGCCTGTCTCAGGAAAGTACATGAGCATTATAAGTCATGGCAGCCAGTATAAATCAAGATTTGATTATTTTTTTCCTTACGGAATATCTAACAAATTTTAGATCTTAAAAAATAGAATTCTGTGGGTTTAAACAACTGACTGAATGAGAAAACAACTTTATAATAATCAATATGTGTCCGTATGATATGGTTTGGGTCTGTGTCCACGCCCAAATCTCATGTCAAATTATAATCTGCAATTTTGGAGGTAGGGGCTGGTGGGGGGGCGAGTGGATCGTGAGGGAGGATTTCCCCCTTAGTGCTGTTTCCCTGATAGTGAGTTACCATGAGATCTGGTTGTTTAAAATTGTGTGACATCTCCCCGCTTTCTCTCTTGCCTGCTTCCCCTTCACCTTCTGCCATGATTGTTAAGTTCCCTGAGGCCTCCCCAGCCATCCTTCCTATAGGGCCTGTGGAACCATGAGCCAATTAAACCTCTTTTCTTTATAAATTACCCAGTCTCGGCCGGGTGCGGTGGCTCACGCCTGTAATCCCAGCACTTTGGGAGGCCGAGGCGGGTGGATCACAAGGTCAAGAGATCGAGACCATCCTAGCTAACACAGTGAAACCCTGTCTCTACTAAAAATATAAAAAAAAATTAGCTGGGGGCGGTGGTGGGCGCCTGTAGTCCCAGCTACTCGGGAGGCTGAGGCAGGAGAATGGCGTGAACCCGGGAGGCGGAGCTTGCAGTGAGCTGAGATCACGCCACTGCACTCCAGCCTGGCCGACAGAGCAAGACTCCGTCTCAAAAAAAAATAAAATAAAATAAAAAATAAATTACCCAGTCTCGGGAATTTCTTTATACCAATGTGAGGACAGACTAATATACCATGTATTTCTAAATGTTGCTATTTATGCAATTATACTTACGTACAGTGAAATGAAGCACACTGTGAAATTAAATTACTAAATCACTGGGAGAATTTTTCCAGGATGTTTCGGTTTCCAAAAACACAAATGCCAGCATGATAGGAGTGATCACTATTGTTCAGCTAAACTCTCCCCTTGGTGATGGGCATCTAAATGAAGGTGTCAAGAAACACCAGTGTCATTTATGTCAGCTGAGGTACACAAAGAAATATAGGCACCCAGGGAAGCAGGGTCCGCAAGATCACCCTGCACAGTTGATTCTCTGAGATCAACCACACTGGGGACAAGGGTACTCAGAGGCATTTAATAAATGCTTGTTTTTAAAAAATCACTCAAACAACACAATTAACAAACGAAAAACAAACTGACTTTACAAAAACTTATAACATTTATGCATTAAAGTATACTAACAAGAGAGTGAAAAGACAACATACAGAATAAGAGAAAATATTTGCCAAGCATATATCCAATGAAGAAATAACATCCAGAATATATTTTTTTAAAAAAACTTCCATAACTCAGTGACCAAAAAAAAAAAACCCACAAATAATAACCCAAATCAAAATTTGCCAAAATCTTGAATAGACATTTCTTCAAGGGAGATATGAATGCTCAATAAGCACATTAAAGATATTCAATGTTATTAGCCTTTGGGGAACTACAAATCAAAACCACAATGAGATACCATTTCACACTCATTAGGATAACTATGTCAAAATAAGAAAATAACAAGTGTTGAAGAATATGGAGAAATCAGAACCCTCGTGCCTTCCTGGTGGAAGTGAAAAATCATGCAGCATCTGTGAAAAACAGGTCAATGGTTTATTTATTTATTTATTTATTTTGAGATAAGGTCTCCCTCTGTCACCCAGGCTGGAGTGCAGTGGCTCGATCTCTGCTCACTGCAACCTCTGCCTCCGAGGTTCAAGCAATTCTCCTGCTTCAGCCTCCTGAGTAGCTGGGATTACAAGCATGTGCCACCATGCCGATTAGTTTTTTTTTTTTTTTTTTTTTTTTTAGTAGAGACAGGGTTTCAGCATGTTGGTCAGGCTGGTCTCGAACTCCTGACCTCATGATCTGCCTGCCTTGATTAAACATAGAATTACCATGTGATTCAGTAATTTCACTTCTTGGAATATACCCAAAGAAATTGAAAGCAGGGACTCAGAAACATATATTTGTACACCAGCATTCATAGCACATTATTTACAATGGTGAAAATGTAGAAACAACCAAATGTCTATAATTGGATGACTAAATAAACAAAATGTGGTACAATCAGCCCCTTGTATCTGTAGTTCAGCACCCACAAATTCAACCAATCTCAGATCAAAAATGTTTGGAAAAAACAATTTAAAAACCAACAAAAAATAATACATATAAAAATACAGTATAACAACTATTTACATAGCATTTACATTGTATTACATATTATAAGTAATCTGGAGATTATTTAAAGTATACATGACATATGTGTAAGATATATGTGATTACTACATCATTTTATATCAGGGACTGGAGCACCTTCAAATTTTGTTATCTGCAATGGGTCCTGAGTCCAACCCCCAAGTACTGAGGGTTGACTGTGTATATGTACAATGGTATATTACTTGACCTTTAAAAGAAATGAAATTTCGATGCATGCTACAACACGAATGAAACTTGAGGACAGGCTATGTGAAATAAGCCAAACATAAATGGGCAAATACTCTATGATTGCACTTCCACGAGATATCCAAAACTTTCAACTTCATAGAGGCAGAAAGTAGAATAAAGGTTCCAGAGGCTGAGGGGATGGTAAAATGGAAAGTTATGGTCTTGTATTAGTCAGGGATCTCCGGAGGGACAGAATATATATATATACATATATAATGTGTATGTGTGTGTGTGTGTGTGTGTGTGTGTGTGTGTGTATATATATATATAAAGTATTAACTCACGCAATCACAAGGTCCCAAACTAGGCCATCTGTAGGCGGAGGAGCAAGGAGAGCCAGTCTACTTTCAAAACTGAAGAACCTGTCCAATGTTCGAGGGCAGGAAGCATCCAGCACAGGAGAAAGATGTAGGCTGGGAGGCTAGTCCAGTCTCTCTCTTTTCACATTTTTCTTCCGGCTTTATATTCTAGCTGCACTGGCAGCTGATTAGATGGTGCCCACGCAGATAAAGGGTGGGTCTTCCCTTCCCAGCCCACTGACTCAAACGTTAATCTCCTTTGGCAACACACTCACAGATACAACCAGGATCAATAGTTTGTATCCTTCAATCCAATCAAGTTGACACTCAACATTAACCATCACAGGTTTCATAGGTACTATGTTCAGGATGATAATAAAGTTCTGGAGATGGATGTGATGATGGTTGCCAAACACTGTGAGTGTATTTAATGCCACCAAATTGTATAATTAAAAATGGTTAAAATGGGAAAGGTTTTGTTATGTATATATTTGGCTACGACTTTGAAAAAAATAACTTAAAAATGAAACAATTTAGAAAAGTTTACTTCTTTAAAATGTTGAAAGAGAAGTATAAACTCTTTTGTTTTTCCTTTATCTATGTGGGCTAGATGGAATTAAACCAAGGGCTGGATTATGGGATAGAGGTTCATCATCCCCAAGCAGTATAAACAGCCTTCAGCAATGTTGACTTTTCTTAACTAAATGGAAGAAAAGTAGTCACAGCATTAAGATTTGAGAAAGAAAAGGAAAATAACGCAGAGAGGAGTGTGTTGTGTTTTTGACGTAAAGTCAAATAAACCTTTGCACCCTCTGCTTTCTTTTGTGTGAATAAGTAATTTTGTGAAGTTAAGTAATAGAATATTAAAATATGTGCCTATCATCAGATACATTACTAAACACAGTAGCTGAACTTGACTGCATGCCCTTTAAGAGGCAGGCATTCCACCAGGTATGTTTAATCCTTTTAAAAAGATGTGTGTGAACTGGGTATTAATACTAAAGCCAATTTACAAAAAAAGAAATGAAATGAGAGCGCTTAAATAATGTGCCACTGAAAGCACACCTAGAAATGGTCAAGGTAAGATTAAAATCTAGGTTTTCTAAGATGAAAAATCCAGTGTCTGCTCCACTTCACTATACATGGCAAAATAAAACACACACACACACACACACACTTTAATGTTTTAAAAGAATCACTTATCCAGTTTTGATCATTCCTCTGATTCAGGTTCATCTAATCCTACTTTTGGCCTGCCTATTTGCACATATAAACCCACATAATAGGTGAATGCGTGTGTCTGTGTATTTGGCAGCCTGTGGAAAGAATGTAAATTTCAGCTATTCTCATCTGCTGACAAAGGAGACCACCAATCTCCCAACCTCACTGGGCACGCCCTTTCTGAATTAGCTGAGGCTGGTGTTTATGCTTTTCTGGATTAGATCCACCCTACTCATCAACATGATTCCACTGGGACCTTAGAATGATCCACCTTTAGTTTCAAATTGCAAGTTGTGGCTATTTCACTCCAAGCAAACAACAAAAACACAAAGGTGGCAAACCGTCACATCCACTGCCTTGCTGTTATCTCTGCATCTTGTTGCCCCCTGCTTTGCCTTTAAAGGATCAGGTTTTAAAGCCTGGAAATTCAAAACCATCAAGGCAATGAGGAGGACTGGCTATCCTTGTAGTAATTGAAGGTCCCCTCAACTGGACCAATAGTTCCCCAGGGTGAACCAACCCTGACTCTCAAAATAGAACTACACGTTGAGGCAGGTTTTCTTCACCCTAAACAGTGCCATTTCCTTCACCAAGATTGTCAGCATGTGACGATTTATTATCAACTGAGATTTGCTTTTGAAGTTGCAAGTATCACATTACGTTGATTTTTGTGTGAGTCTTTAATGAAATATTGCAAATTACAAGGTGCTCTGTTATGCCTTGTCCTATGTGTGTGCTGATTTCACTGACCTGACACTGCTTGAGGTACAGCCCAACAGCTGTCTTGAGAACAAATCCTCCAAAGCCTATAAATTCACCCAGTCTTCATTCACTTTAAGCCATCACATACAAATATTTGTGTTGTTTTCCTTGATGGTACTATTGGGAAACCATATTTACAACAATCTAGACTTTTGGCGGTTATTTCCACAATGAAAATTTGCTATTCCTCCTTCTCATCTTATTAAACAAAATTCCATTTTACATGAGATCCATGTATTTTTCTATTCTTGTCTTAATCAGGGGGCCAGGGGAAGGGGTCAACATTCAACAAAGTTCTGCTTTGTATTTTCAAACATACCCATGACTGCCTTGCCCAGTTAGCATGACATTCTGTGGCCTCATCACCCTTTCTAGCTCTGGATGACACCCATAAATATGATTTATATAAGACCACCCTGCAGTTATTTGCCAAACAGACAGCAAATGATGTCCTTGGCCCAGTCTTCCTCTCCCAGCCACCACACATGCATCAATTATAGGGGCTCCATGCAATGGGAAGGCATCTTGCCTCTGTGCTTCCACAGATGGGAGTTAGACTTAACAAAAAAAAAAAAAGTGTTCTCTTCCTGTCACTCCCAATTTCTAATGAAGCTCCTTTCTATAATCCTTCCCAGAAGATAATGCAAATCTTCTCACTTTCCCTTCTATCGTGTCATATGCAGCTTGATTTATGAGGGCTGGTTTTTGCTAAATGAAAGCTAAGCACGAAAGTGTGGCAAACTGAGTCAATAACAACCATAACAATGGGGGTGGATAATTCTTATGTACTATTCATTGAATATGCATGTCTGCAAGACCCTAGAACATCGTGTAGTTCTACATCAAATCTGCACATATACCATACTATGACCATACACATATCTGTGTGCATGATGCCTGGGACCCACTTGTATTAGTCCATTCGCACATTGCTATGAAGAACTACATGAGACTGGATTTATATTTATATATATATATATATACAGGAAACATGACTGGGGAGGCCTCAGGAAACCTACAATCATGGCAGAAGGTGAAAGGGAAGCAGGCACATCTTACCTTGGAGCAGGAGAGAAAGAGGGCGAGCAGAGGGGAATGCCAGACATTTATCAAACAACCAGATCTCATGAGAACTCACTCACTATCACAAAAACAGCAAAAGGGAGATCTGCCACCATGATCCAATCACCTCCCACCAGGCCCCACCTCCAACACTGGGGATTACAATTCAACATGAGATTCAGGTGGGTACACAAATCCAAACCATATCACCACCACAACCAGAGACCTCTGCTAGCTGGCTTACAATGAGCCAATGATTCAGTTGCCTGTGGATGAGAGAAGCTGAGGGCATGTTAACAGTCCAGAGAGAAGAAATAATGACTTTAAACATTCCAGCACCTCTCCCTCATGTAGAAAAGCTCAACATGTATACAGATGGGTCTACAGTTTCCCCTTTGCAAGGGAATGAGGATGCAGAGTCACCTCTGCCAGTGTTCCATCATCATTGTGTGCATCATTCAGCTTACATGTAACATGCCCAGTGCTGCAGGATAATGTGAGGAAGGGCGGAGGGTAGAAGGGAAGGAGGCAGGAAGGAAGGAAGGAGGGAAGTGATGGTTTTTGTAACACAGAATGAAAAATTGAGAAAAACATATTAATTTTAAAAATCTATACTTATAATATTACAACATCACAAAGTGCTGTTTAATTAGAGATACATGGTGTTCAAAGTGAGGATAATAGAGAGACTTGACCTGGTTAGATCAGGAAAGGGATATGGAAAGTCTCCTTTGTCTTATGAAGCAAGACCACTGTGTATCTGTGGGGTGTGTGTGGTGTGTGTGTACGTGTGTGAGTGTTTGTTGGTGGGAGTTGTCTAGAACCCAAATGAAGACCTCAAATACAGTGAAACAACTGAAAAGCCATATTTCTTTTCCCTATAATATTGCACACCTCAGTTATCAAAGATTTGAGGGGGTATTTATGCCCTTCTTGTTATTTTTCATCTTCCTTTTTAAAAGTGATGCATACCGATAGGTATTAATAATGGAAAACTGGCTGTTGAGGGAGTTGAATCCTGCCTAGAACCCAGGAAGGCTCTGTAAATGTCAGGCACAATTGTTATGGAGGGGGCCTGGCAGTGGCCTCAAAGAAGGCCTGCCCAGCCCTGCTCCAGCCAGGAGTCCTGGCGTTGGAAGCCATAAGTTGCCCGTGAGCCGGTCTCTGGAGTTTCCCTGGCACAAGGTAGGGCTAAAATTCTTGAAGCAGACTCCCCTCCAGCTGCTCTGAGGTTGAAGTGTTCAGATAATACCCAGGAAAACGCCCCAGAGGCAACACTTGTCTATCGGAGGAGGCTTTCTTCAATTTTGAAAGATGTCATCTGAAGCCCTCCAAGGCTCCCTCCACACCTCAGACTCTCTTTGGGTTCTTCTGCCCTGGGTGCCTCAACCCCACCCCACCCGTAAGTGCTCTTAATTTCCCTCTCTTTCATATTTCCTGGGTGTTTTTGTAGATTTCCGAAATCAAATCAAAAAACTATTTATCATGAATATGATGGTGTCAGGAATTGTATGAGCATGAACATGCAAACACTAAGTGGAAACAGCTGATGTGCAAGATTGTGAAATTTTTTTCCTTTTAAAATCAAAGCCTTTTGTGTTGTTGTTAGTATGCTAAATATACATTTTACAATTGAATCCAGACAGTATTTTACTATATCAAAATAGGCAGAGAAAAACAAACACAACATGATTACATTACATTTTAAAGGAGCCATCCTGATAGTGATAGAAAAGGAGGGAATACCATTCAATATTTCTATTGTTTAATAGTTATTTAAAGATATTTTTAAATCTCAATAATAATATAAAGAAAAATTCTTTAAAAAGTGTCATGCATTTATTTTCTGTCTACCACACCCCACTACATGTCTTTAAGAAAGTGCCAGGCAAGGAAACAAGACTCTGGAATGACTGAGTCACAGAGGAGACACCTGAACCATCCAGGATTGTTCTAAAAATGCCCTTGGACAATGGCCTTTGTAACTTTGGGAATATCTGAAACTTGATGAGCACAACTTTTCTCATTCATATTTAATAATCTAGATGGATTAAATGTCCAAGACTGAAACAATAAAAGATACAGGAGAAGAAATGCTCCCACCAAAACACTTAGCCTATGATAACTCTGAAAATATACACACTATGGCAATTAGCTATACTCTAGAGATGATATGTCCTTTCCCTTTGAACCTGGAATGTGAGACTTCCTTTTGACATGACCAAAGGCTTGAGTTTTTTTGAGCTGTCTCTAGATTAAAAATGATGCAACTTTTGATCATTTGAACATCGCTATTAAGTGGTCACAACATTTTAAGCAGACTATGCTAAAAGACATGCTATGACTCTACCATATTACGTCATCATATTCTAAGGAAATATTTGTGAAAACATAAAAAACATAACCAACATATGAGAACCAATTACATTTAAAGTAAATTCTCATTAATTAAGAATTTGCTAACTTAAAATTACTGGTAATTTAGACTGTGTGTCATTGGGCTTCCTCGGCAGTTTTGATATCTTTGAAACCTTTTGACCAAAGTAACAGTAAATAATAAATGACAATGATAAGATGACAGGAGACATTTGTGAATTTGGTAGCTTTTCCTTTAGACTCGTTGCATGCCTTGCATTATCTGCCTCAGTTAATGGCAGTGCCAACCAGCAATGCCAGTCAGTTGGTCTTCCATGCAACCAGTACACACCAAGGTTGTGCCTGGTGCTAGGCAGGGAAATGAAAGATGAATAAGACCCAGGATGTGTGCTCAGAGAGCTCCCAGTCTAGCGTGACAGTTCAACAAATAACCACAATGTGTGTAGGAGGCACTGTGATTGAGATAACAGATATTTGCAGAGCACAGATTAAGGTGGACAAAGCTGCTTAGGAGAGTCAGGAAAGGGGAGAAGAGGACCCTGAGCCAGACCTTCAGTGATGGGTCGGAATTTTCTCCACCTCCTTGTAGGCCCCATCTTGTCTTTCCTGGGCTGTTGCCATCACCTCTCTTATTCTCCCAACCAGACTCCACCAGTGGAGCCTCAACACCCCTTCCAGAGTAATGTTATTGAAACCTGCTTTGAAATCTCCTCTTCTCCTACTGTTGCTCAGGACTGTTTCTCAGCACATTATATTATATTCTAACTCATAGGTGGGAATTGAACAATGAGAACACATGGACACAGGAAGGGGAACATCACACATCACACACCGGGGCCTGTTGTGGGGTGGGGGGAGGGGGGAGGGATAGCATTAGGACATATACCTAATGTTAAATGATGAGTTACTGGGTGCAACACACCAACATGGCACATGTATGCATATGTAACTAACCTGCACGTTGTGCACGTGTACCCTAAAACTTAAAGTATAATAATAAAAAAAAAAAACTTTAAAAAAAAAAAAGAATCCTGAGACTAAAGATGGGGGAGCCACACCCCCAAGGGTGTCTACTGGCTGAGGGCCAATGTGCTGGCTGCATCTACAATGTGTCTCTGAAGTCCCCTGCTTTGTGTATCCAACATAGATAAATTTTGAATTGTAGTTTATATGATGCCCATGCTTATTTCAGTATATAAGTAGTTTCTATGTTTTTTGTTTGTTTGTTTGTTTGTTTTCCCCCAAAGCATTTAAGGAACTTGAATCTCCAAGCAAGTGAGTCACGCTGACATGATTGCTTCCCCCAGCCCTGCGAATGGGCACCAACCCCCTCTAAGAGAATGCCCTGGGCCATGGGATGAAACCCAGCACCTCAGGACAACATGCAGTCCTCACAGTTTTATAAGGCAGAATTGTCCAGAGAATCAGAATCGAAAGGAAGGTATACATAAAGAAAGTTTTATTTTATTTTTTATTTTTTATTTCATGGCACACCTCTCAACTGTGAAAGAGAGATTTATTTATTTATTTATTTGTTTGTTTGTTTGCATTCCACCTTCGCTGGAGTGCAGTGGCGCGATCTCGGCTCACTGCAACCTCCGCCTTGTGGGTTCAAGTGATTCTCCTGCCTCAGCCTCCCGAGTAGCTGAGATTACAGACATCTACTACCACGCCTGGCTAATTTTTGTATTTTAGGAGAGAAGGGGTTTCACGGTGTTGGTCAGGCTGGTCTCAAACTCCTGACCTCAAATGATCTGCCTGCCTCAGCTTCCCAAAGTGCTGGGATTACAGATGTGAGCCACCACACCCAGCCAAGAGAGATTTATTTTAAAGAGTTGACTCATGGAATTATGAAGTCTAGTAAGTAAAAAATCCTCAGGGTAGGCTGTCAAGCTGGGAACCCAAAAGAGTTACTGGTGCTGTTCACGTCCAAGGGTTTTCTGCAAGCAGAGTTTCATCTTGCCCAGAGATGAGTCTTTTGTTCTATTTGAGCCTTCAGCTGATTGGACAAGTCCCACCCACATTATGGGGGGCAATTTGCTTTCCTCAAATTCCACCAATTTAAAATAATCTTATCCACACATATACACAGAGTCTTCACAGAAATATCCAGAATGATGTTTGGCCAGTTCTCTGGATGCATGACCCAGCCAAGCTGATGGGTAAAATTAATCATTACCACTCTAGTGTTTGTGCCTCTCAGACTGTGTCCTCCTCCCACCTGCTCGAACTACCTTGTCTTGGTCATGCTAGGACTTCTTATCACCATTCATTTCTTCAACATTTATTGTGGATACTACAGAGCAAAAATAAATTCAATTCCTGGCTTCTTGGAACATATATTCTGGCAAGGAACTTCTAATGCGTCTAGAGAACCATTAATCACATAAACATAAAAATGAAGGCAAAATTTCAAGGGCCATAGCTGTTATCAACTGGAAGTACAAAGTGCTAAAAGGCAATGATGCAGAAGTTTGACCCAGCCTGGGAAGTGAGGGGAAGTATCCCCAAGGGAGAGGTGCTTGATGGGGAGAGGAAAGATGTGCAAGCATGCTGAACTGAGTCTCACAGTATAACTTTTCACAGCACCATCCATGTCTTCAAGATGTCACGTCAATGTAGCATGTGTCAATGTGTTAAAAATTACAGGAGCCACATTTAAGAATGTGCTCAAGTCCTCCCTTCCATCCCTGGGGTAGCATTGTTTGATTCAATATGGGGACTGAGAAACAAGGAGGCCTCAAGAATGCCTTCCAGGGTTTTCGAGGGCAGAACTGATGAGACTGAGCTTTTATTCCATCCAGACTGCACTAGAGCCACAGGGAAAGAGGTCGTCAGGGAGCCAACAGCCAAGGAGGGGAGCAAACAGGTGAACAGTTAATTATCTAATTTTTTGAACCCTGCACCAGACTCTGTCAGGGTGTTGAAGCAGTCCTGGGGAGGCTGAAGGAGAGGAAGGGAGGTGATGGGCAGAGAGATGTCCCAGAGGCAAGCTACAAGCTAAATCTTAAAAGATGAGTCCTAATTACCTGAGTAAAGGAGAGAAAAGGCAGTTCATCCTAGAGTGGAAAGCATGAGCACAGGCTCAAAGGGAAGCAAAACGTCCTAAAGCTTCTGAAGTAATCTGTATTGGCTGGAGGTCCAGAAGGAAGAAGCTGTCTTTGAAAATAAAGAAGTAGTCAGGAGCCTTCTGAAAGAGTGTTTTCCAAACGTGTTTGACCATGACCCATTGTCAGAAATGCATTTTGCCCCAAGACCCTGTACACACACACACACACACACAGACACGTCCATAAAACACAGCGTAAGTGTGATGAGCTAGGATGTGTGCTTAGACTGATTTGCAATGCATTTTAATATTTCCTATTCCAGTTTGTCATGGTTTTTATAAGATAATAGTCCTGACTCACTAAATGAATTTTATGACCCACATCACCGTTGCTTATAGCATTTTGACAAACATGACTCTAAGATATGCTAAAAAGTTTTCATTTCATCTTAGGGCACTAGAGAATTATTCAAGGATTCTAAGCTGGGTGGGAGACATACAAGGCTTACGTTTTATGAATATCCTTGTGGGAACGTTGAGAGAAGGAAGTAAGGGGAGCCGTATCTAGGGTCTGGAAGTCAGATCGAAGGCTATTTAGTGCTAGAGCACAGCCTGAGAACTTGCATTAAAGGAGCGGAGTTGTTGCTAAGGAGCTAGAATGCTCCAGACCGGAGACTGAAGCTAAGGAGGGAAGGAGGGGGAAGCAGCAGTGGGACATTAGTTTTCTGCATGAGGCAGGACATGGACTAAGGAAAATGAGATGCACATGAAGGGAGTCGGCCTTGGACATGTCAAAGCACACATGGGATGGTCCCAGTGGAAGTGGCCACACAGGTGAGGGCTCAGGAGAGAGGGCTGTGTGATTTGGGGACAAAGTGTCCATCCCCAGGAAACTTTCAGAAGGCTTAAAGGGGTCAAAGCAGTTTTATCACAATGCTACGGTGTCATTTGCCTCTTTCACCTTCATTCTTTCATAACTGTACAATGGTCATTTCCAGAGGTTTCGCAGCATGTGGTTTTGAAAAAGGTTGACTGCAGAGGCAGATGTGAGTATCTGGCTGTTTGCTCTGAAGTTAGACATCAAAGACATTGGCCACTCCTCTCGTGAATTTTTGTTTTGGAAAACGTATTTATTTTTCATAAAATATAGTATTTATGACAACATGTAATAACACTTTATTATGTTTTAAATGAATAAAGAAATATTTTAAAATATAAACATTTCTCAGTTTTAATTTCTGATTAGTAAATATCAGTATATAGAACACACTGTTCTATAAACAAAATTGTTAAGATTGTAAAAGTCACCTGGGACCAAAAAATTTGAAATTCACTGACCTAGAAGATCATCCCCTCCCTCATCCCATTCCTCATCCCCTCCCTCATCCCCTCCCTCAGCCCCTCCCTCAGCCCCTCCCTCAGCCCATCCTTCAGCCCCTCCCTGGCTTCCACTTCTCAGCCACAACTACCATTGGCCTAAGTTCAATTCTTCCTTCTAGGTTAGGTTCAGATGCCCCTTGTCTGTGGAGTCTTTGCTAAGTCCGCCGGCATAATTCAGGGCTGCCTCTTCTGGGCTCACCAAACCTTAGCTGTACATATCTACTACAGTACTACTGCTATTATTTTTTTAAATATTTGTCATTTAAAAAATGTGTCATTTACACTTCAGAAGATATTTTGAGCAACCTACTCAAAATATTTGTAGCCACTACAAATAAATAGGAACAGCATAAGAAACAGGCCAGAGAGAAAGACCAATCCAAACTGTGGGTTCAAAGTTACCTCGCAGTTATCAGAATTCCCTGACAGAATCTGGAGGCTTGTTACTATTCTAGCACATAAGGACCTGTGAGTACTGAACCGTTAAAGAGGAGCATGTGCATTGTTAGGGAAGGAATCAACAGAGGGAGGACAGGAGGAAGGGAGTGAGGAAGTGAAGGGAGGGAGCCAGTTTTCAATTACCTGTGGTGTAAAAAGACAGGATTAGGTTTAGTTAACGATCCTCATGGATAAATAGACTCCTAGAAGTCTAATTTTAGCAAACAATTTCTTTCCCAAACTTGAGATGTTGGCGTTTCTTTTCTTTCCTTTCCAGGTACTAATGAGCAGTGAAGATATAGCAAGAAAAACAAGAAGCCTTAATAAGTTCAACTTTTGAACCTGGAAGTATTACATCAGAGCCAAACAGTTGACTTTCCAGCCAGAAGATGGTGAAGATCTACATCATAATTGAAAGATTGCTCATTCCAACCCAACTACGCCATCACTAATGTCTGTGTGGATTTTGCCTAACATAAACTTATTGTTCTGAGACTACTATGAATTTTAAGAAAAGCCCCTACTGCAATTCAATTTATTTTCAAAGACCTATCAAGGAGTTCACTATTCACCCTCAATATTTGCAAAATTAGTGTGCAGTGTCAGCCTGCTTCACTCTGGAAAAGTTGAATACTTTTCCAAGAACAAAATGACTTCATGGTTTGTTCTGAACTACAAAATTGAAAGATTAAATGATACAAGCGTATTTAAAGCAGGTTATGTATATACTATTTTCTCAGTCATGTTTTAAAGGCTTAAAATGTCCCCAGTAAAGCTTCAGTGAGCTATGCACGAAATAATACATGCAACTGCCAACCAGATTCCTAACTTGTGGTCCACAAAAGAAATGTACAAGTTTCTGTGTCAGACAAAAGAGGCCAGACTCAGGGCAGCAATACCAGGTGGGTCCTCACTCACACATACTCAGGGAAAGATCTCTTCCTAAGTGACACTTTAATGAATCTCTTCATAAATATAATAACTCCTAAAGTTTCTAGAGCACACTTTTCATTAATGTCACTAATTATGTAATGAAATGCCATCTAACGTTTAGAATTTTGTGACATTTCATGTAAAGAAATTTACAAATCTGAAAAATTTTTACCAAACTATGAGTCTCAATTTGGATTCCTAAAAAGATGGTCAACATTCTTATAAAAGGTCCCTGGACCTCGTGGGATGGGATCCCTGATCAACTAGAGACGCTGCAGAGAGGACCAGCCTGGCTCCACCCTGTTAAAATCCCTATGTAACATTTAGAGCGTGAGCTGCTCAGAGCAAGGATAACAACTTGCCATTTCTGTTTTTAAAATGTTGTCGTAGTAAAAAAAAAAAAAAATTAATTAAAATGGAACAGCTTATCTCTCTAACTGTCCCACCCTTCCTTTTCACTTGCTCTCATGGAAAAATGCTGGATCACAAATGGGCAAATGACAGCCCGCCGCCAGGTCCACACCAGCCACCTGTTTCTGTATGGCCTGTAAGATAAAAAGCTTTTACATTTGCAAATGCTTAAAAATGCCTAAACAAGAATTTCATGACACATAAAGCATGAAAACTTCAAATGTCAGTGTTAATAAAGTTACATTGGAGCACAGCCAGGTACATTCATTTACAATATCCTCAGTGGCCACATCCTGGACGCAGCATAGTAGAGAAGTGGCCACAGAGACCATGTAGCCCACAAAGCCTAAGAGATTTATTACCTGGCCCTTAACAGAAAAGGGTGCCCACCCCATGCTTATAACCTGAGCTCTCAAGAAGAGGGTTGTGCACAGAGGAGCTCATGCCACCTGTTCATGTGACTAAATATTGGGAACTTGTGAGGATGCTCTGCAGACTTAACCTTTGAAATGCTGTCCAAGGCAACCAAGAAAAAACACTCTACACACTGACAGATACCACCTTTGTCCTCCTTTCCATGACATTTACATCATCTAAATTTTAATAACAGGCCGATCATGGACAGATAACCCTTATGAGTCATCCATGGAAGAGCATAAACTTTGTTATGTTTCTAGTCTCAATTTCTTCAGGAACATCTGTTGCAGTCTAGAGCTTGACACTTTAAGAGGGATGTGGGAGCTTAGAGAATATTGAAAGAGATAATATAAGAATGACTGGGTAGTTGATTCATAAAGTCAACAATCCCTACATGCATACAGATTGAGAGTGATAATGCAAAAGCCTAAGCAGGATGTGATGTTTAGCAAGTGTATGAACAAGCTCTTTTGCGACTAAAGTATATGACTTGTCTCTGAAAACATAAGGACCAGATCAAAATGAAATCAATGAAACAGGCAAGAGTGTGGAGACTTGCTCTAAGGGACAAGATTTCCTGAGAGTGACTAAATGTTCAAATAAGTCCTGGAGATTCCCTACTGGAGTCTTTCAATGGGAGAACGGTTTCTTGTCTTGAGGGCTTCACTGGAGACAGAGAGAAGGAATAGATGCTCCTTCCCTACACATCCTGAACTATGACCCCTATGATAAGGAAAGAGGTTGGTTCTTTCCTTTTGGCTGGTCCCAGGCAGGATTCCGACCCTTTCCCCAGGATAAGTGGAGAGAAGAGACAGTAAAAAGCCTGGGAGGCTGCTCTTTGGGGGAAAAAAAAAGTGAGGTTGTTCGTCTGTTTTCCTTATAATATCCCTGCTGGGTATATTTAATCCTGGCTGACAACATTATCCTGCTCTTTTGGAACTGGTGTCTGTGATGGCTCAGAAGAAAAGGAGAAGCTGAAATAGGGGAAGTAATTTTTCTGAATCCAGAGGGGTTTGCTCTTCTCAAGGGTGTGCACATACACACCGGCCGGCTCACCTGCCTGGTCTGGGGGTCAAATGCACGTGTGGGTGATTCAAGGTCATCATTCAGATCTGCAGAATAGGTAGAAAAACCAGATGCCTTGTCTTTGCTATCTCTTTTCACTGCAAAACTCGATTCTTTTATCTAGGAACAGGGTAGGAAAAATGAGAGGGAGAAGGATAAAGCGGCATTGACTATGAGTTGACTGTTGAAGCTGGCAGATGTGCTCATCAAGTTCATTGTATTATTCTCCCTACTCTGTTCTGTGTTTGAAAAATTCTATACTAAAAATTAAAATGTAGTGCTGGTGCTCCATCAAGTTGGTAAATTTCCTGATTCCAAAAATAAATTATTTTATCAAATTATTTTTTTCTCTCCAGTACTTAGAGTTTCACAAACCTTGAGCAAAATTTGATACACATGCTTCAGTTTCACTTGCTCTTTAAAATAGCAAAGTGTAGGATTTCTCTTTAGGAGCGATTAGATGTCCCAGATGGTTTGGCTCAGACGACAAAATCCTCCATCCTAGAAGCAGGAAATCACAGCTGCCAAACCAATGTTAATCTGAACTTCTGGATCCAAGAGACCTTTGAGGAGCCCATGGTCATTGCAAAATCATACAATGCTCATTTTTCCTTTGCTCAGGTAATGTATAGCAATAGCAGAATCCAGGAAATTTTCAACATTTGTATCCTATACAGAAAGAAAAAGGTGAACATTGTGTCAACATTTTCAAGGGTGGAACTGTTAATGATAATGGCCCAGTGATATCTCATCTGAATGTGTTTCTCATCCTCTGTATTCTTGGACTCTATCAACGAAAAGGCCCACCTGCTTCAGATCCCAAATCAGCAATATACACTGTTATGTCCATAAATTTTGTAAAAAGTACAATTTTTGAATACTGTGTTCTGAAATTCTGGAATTCTGAGTGAATTTAGATGGTATGTTAACATTATATTATAAAATTATGCTGGTTATACACTTGTCATTTCTCAGTGACACAAAGCCAGTGGGTGCTGTCCCTCCCTGGCCCCCTGCTCCTTGTGGAGCTGCCACTCATGCTGTCCCTACCACAAAGAGAGTGGCCTCCTCCCATCCTCCCTCTCTAAGGTCATGAGAAGTTGTCCAGGGCCTCAGGTCAATAAAGGACTGGCTGTATTGATTTTCTATGCTACATAATAAAATATCACAAATTGAGCAGTTGAAGACAACATACATTTATCTTACACGCCAGTGATGCAGGATTTTTCTTGGCCCCTCCATTGGACTCACGACAGGGGTGAACATTTACTCCGACCGCCATACTCAACCCCTTGTGGGAGGGAGCACATGAATGAGGGAGTGCAGGACCCAGCCAACCACTCTGGGCACCAGCAGGAGCAAGCTCTGTGCGGGGCCCACGGCCAGACCAGGTATGAGTGAGTGAGTGTGGGATCTGGCCACCACTCTGAGTGCAAGCTCCACACAGGCCTGCAGCAGTGACCAGATGGGGGTGCCTGTGACCCCGAATCCTCAGTGGGAGTGTTACATTGCTGTTTTAGCCTCCACCATCTGTAGACGGCTGTTTGTTTATGGCTTAATTGGCCCAATGCCTCTTCACATAGGGTGGCTGCCCTCCACCAGCCAGGGCAAAGGGCTGGTGTGACAGCCTTTTAGGGTGTCCGCAGTCGGTGGGTCCTGAGCTCTTGTCCAGCATCCAAGAAGAATGAGATTGTGCAGATATTTGAAGGATGGTGAAAGCAGAGAATTTTATTGAGTGATGGAAATGGCTGTCAGTGGAAAGGGGAGGTGAAGAGGGGACAGGAAGGGCAAGTGGTCTTCCCAGAAGTCAGGTCATCTTCTCCCCGAAGTCCAGCTGTCTCTTCCCTGACATCGAGCCGTCTCTCTTCTCCAAAGTCTGGCCAACTCTCTCCCCTACCAACTGAGTCTGGGGTCTTTATAGGCATAGGATGGGGGTGGGGCAGGCTGTAGTTAGTTTTGGAAACGGCAACATTCGATTGATAAAAAGACATTATTCGGAAAGAACCAATCGGGAGAGAGCATGCAAACAGGAATAGAAGTTCTCACTTCTGGCTGCAGGTTTCAGACTACTTTGGCTTGAAGGTGGGGTTTCGCTGTGGACCTGCCCCTGTCTGCCTAAAATCTCCCTGCCTCCTGTCTCTATCACCAGGTGTTAACAGTCTAGGAACAGCTTAGCAAGGCCCTCCGATCAGGGTCTTGTAAGGCTACAATCAAGGTGACAGCTAGAGCTGAGGTCTCATCTGATGTTTAGGGTTTGCTCCCAAAGGCATTGTTCGTCAAATTTGTTTCTCACTTCCACAGAATGCATATCAGCTTCAAGGCCAGGAGGAGAGACAGTATTTTAAAGAACCTGATTAGGACAGGTCTACTCAGGATCATCTCTCTTTTAATTAACTCAGAATCAATTGATTGGGGACCTTAATCACATCTGCAGAATCCTGTCACTTTTGCCATATAAGTAATCTAATCGAAGGAGGGACACCTGTGATATTCAGCGGCTGCCCCCATACTCAGGGGAGGGGAAAATACTGGAGGTACACACTGTTGGAGGTTGGAGAGTGGGGATCTTGGGAGCCATGGAGGACTTGACTCTACCATGGAGTTCAACACTTCCTAAAGGCTTTGAGCTCTTTAGCTGTGAGTAAGTAAAGACAGCACTGGTAACAGACAGGGACAAGTTCTATCTTCAGATAGGATGAGTGGTTCTAAATGCTACCTGTACTAGAATCATCCGGGAGCTTTCAAAAATGCTGAGCTAAACCCAAAGACCAGAGACAGTGATATGTTGGTCTGTGATGCTGCCTGGCACTCTAAGACTCCTCAGATGAGTATGCTGTGCAGCCAGGGTTGACAATCTAGCCTTGTAGGAAACATGTTTTCTCCCACTCAGTCCTAATGAAGGAGGCCATTCCAGAAAAAGGAGGGTGGTAACACAGTAGTGGCAGGTTTTGGACTTTACAGTTTGGCAAATGCAGAACAAGTTGCATCGTACAAAACTGTATCTCAGATGATCCTGAGAAAGGGAATCGGTTGGGGCAGATAATTCTTCTCACCACTTTTTTTTTTTTAAGATAAAAAGATGTAAATCTGAGACTTACTCCAGATCACATAGCTGCTAAGGAAAATAGCAAAACTAGGATTCCCCTCTCCATATTTACTGGTTGTCTAACTTTGGACAAATTGCTGAATTCCTCTGCTCCTCACTTTCCTCATCTATAAAAGAAGGGAACTTTAGTGCCCAGCTCAGAGCATCGTTGAGAAGATTAAGAGAGTTGCTTTGTGGAAACAAATGGCTTGAGCCCCAGGCTGAGGGGTCCAGTAACAAGTCCCTGGTGCTCAGAGTTAGAGTAGGACAAAAACTTTGTGACAGTACAGAAGAGCTTGGCCATCCTTGGAGTCTGGATTAGAATTTGTATACAATTGGATTAGATTTCACTGGGAATGGATTAAAAACTAAGGGGGGAAGGGTGCACTGTCTATTTGATATTCTTGATTGGGATTGGCTCTAGGCAAAGGCAGAGTTGAATTTGCTTCAGTATCCAGCTGCCACACGTGTCCTTTTGTCACATCTGAAGTGCTTTTTTATCATCCTCCACCCCGACTCAGACTAGCACCTCACTGATGCTCCTTCTGCCCTCCACCTCCCGAGAATCCATACTCTAAACAATTCCACCCTGGTCCTCACCCTTTCTCACAACTGAATCTAGGTATCATTTGTATAATTACTGTCCCCACACTGCAATATCTAGATCCCTTCCATTTTCAGACTCTAACTCTGCATTCTTAACTACGGACTTGCAGTATGCAGTCCTGCAGCCCATGAGCATCTCAAACTCCACAGCTAAATCTGTCCCCTTCTCAGCAAATGTGCTTTCACCCTCCTCAAGGCCAAATCTGGCACCTGGGGCCAACTTAGAATCCTCCGCTTCCTCACCCAGGTGGCCGAGCTCAGTGGGGTCCTTCCACATATGTGCCCATCTCCTCTGGCCCGTGGACAGTGCTTCAGGTGTTCAGTGATTTCAACAGCCTTCTCCATCTCGAGTCTTACCATCTTCTCTCCAACTGCTTCCTGCACAGCAGGCACAGTCACCCTTGTAAAACATTCCACAAAAGGGGCGATGTCACCTCCCTCTTTAAAAGACCTCATCACCTCTCTGCAGAGTTCCAAAGCTCTCCTCCCTCCCACAGCTTTCCATGGTGCAGTCCCCACAGTGGAAAGCTGTCCTTCCCAGGTCCCCACACCTACCATGAGACCAGTACCATCACAGCTCTGATCTCCCTCTGTTCCTGAGTCCCATCTCCCCTGCTAAACTGTGAGCTCTGTGAAGGCGAGAGTGGCTTGGCAGGTACAATGCCTATGTACAGTATGACTCAGTGAATATTTGTTTTGTTTATTGACGCTACAGTGCAACAAAACCTAGCTTCCCGGGGTATCTGTATTTCAAGCCATAAGCTTTTGAGGTAATGGAATATATTAACTTCTCAGCTCCAAGCTGGATTAATTCCCCTCCTCTGTTCTTCAGTGAGGCACCCATATGTATAGGCCACTTTTAAGACATTGTCTCAATCACGAAAAAATTCTTCAGGGTCAGTATTGTGGTGACCCTTTAACACATGGCAAAAGTATGGACTTTAAGAGAGTCTCAGTCTCTTCCTCTTAGAGCATAGGAAGAACCCAAACTAAAAATGCCCTATAGACTATGGACATCAGAGCAGGGTGATGGCTCTCCTCTGTTTAGAACCACAGAAGAGGAAAACAAGGCCAGCAGGCTGGCTCCCTTGATGTGGCCAAAGGAAGGACCTTCCAGTGGCAAGACAGGTCTCAGAAGCCCAGATTGGGGGCAGAGGAGTGCATGTTGGGGAACACCTGATCCAAGGAGAAGGCAGTGCTATCCATAAAGCTGCTTCATCTTGGTTATGTTTTCCTTCCATTAAAATAAGTAAAAATTTCATCTTAAGCATTTTTCAAAATTCCTTGAGCCAAATCTAGATTCTTTTTGAGGCTTGGGGGAGGCAAGGGAAATGCAGCCTGGTTGAATAATAATTAATGGCGCCCAGAACCACGGCTGTGCACACTGATGTTTTGCAGGAGCAGGTGACTGTGTTTCTGCCGTCTGGCTGAATCTCATCATCATGAGTGCTTTCGGATATAGAGCATGTTTCCAAAAATAAGTGCCCTATATTTCTCAGGGCTGGTAACTGTGCCAACAGCTGCAGCAGAACTAGGCAGGCACTGAAGAGGTTAAGCCAGCCAGCAGCATCTCATCAGTGGCCCAAATAGCTTAATAGCTCCATTTTCTGTGTGTTTCCAGTTCTCACCTACTTCCTGAGCAATTCATCAGGAGTGGAGGGGCATGTGCAGGATCGCCATGTAACGTGAATCCTGATTCCACGTTTGCCTTTTGTGGTCGGCTTTACAAAGTGGAAATGCTTCCAGTCGGTTTTATGACCTGCAGCCACCTGCCGGAGGAAGCTTCTGACAACCAGGCTTTCAAAAAGGCAGGATTGGTTTGTTTGTTTGTCCTGTGGGATCCTCCTCTCTCCTATTAATCTCCAATCAGCTAATGGCATCAAAAGATCGCCCTGGGTAGGAAGCAATGTGATAAAGGACAGGTGAAGGAAGTCAAGGAGAGAAATGATGTGGAAGGCTGGAGGGGAGGCTCCCACCCACAGACACAGGGGCCACAGTCGGCCCTGGACACACAGAACACCTTTAAGAAGGCATAAGAACTGGAAACCTGAAATTACTTTCTTCTGACATTGTCTCTTTCTGGATCTGCTCAGCTGGAAAGCCCAATGCAGAGCGATTTGTCTTTGTTCTGACTTCTGTTGTATTCCATGTAAAGCCATCACCCCAGGAGACTCGAATTTCCTGTGGATGTTGATGTGCCCATATCTGCAGTGACAAATCAGCGAGTAACTTATTTTTAGAGATCTTGTGTTCACCCTGCCAGAAATACCTTTTTTTCAAAAGGGGAAAATAAATTACAAACACGCTTTAGTCATCTCTCTCAGCCGTACAGTGTGAAAAATGTGTGATTTATGACCCTGTTTTCTCACAGCCTATTATATTTCCCTAAGCCTTTCCCCAAGGACTGCTAGGGTTTCCATTAGCCTACATGGCCATTTCAACACACATCACATTGAATACAGTTCCCAGGAAACTCGGCGTTTCTTGGATGGGAGTTGAAGTGTTGCAGGGAGCTCGGGAGGGGTGTGAGAGCCTGAAGCTGCCACAGTGGCCTTCCAGGCACCCAGAACAGCCCTGTACCACTGACTCCTTGACCAGTGCTCTCCTTCTCCTGCCGGGGGACAAGCCCTGCATTGTCTTGGTTCTTAAAAGAACTAGAGGTTAGCTGTGGTGGTTATATGGTGGAGGAATTAACTTGAGACAGGTTGGTTCCAGAAATCTTCAGCAGAGCCCCTTAAGTTAATAAAAATAAATGTGTGTGAGCTCTTTCAGGTTCTATGGTATTTTTAGAGCCTGGAATCCTGTCTGGCTCATAGTAACGTGGCTCATAGTTGCCTATGGTATCAACATGGGTATCATGGATATTCATTGATCGCCTATTAGTGCCCTTCATCACAAACTCTGTGGAAAGTACAGCTACACACTGTCCTTCACTGATTCTATTTTTTATTCATTCAATTAATATTTATCAAGCATCCTTTTCTGTACCAGCTATGGTTAGTCACAGGATCTTCGCTGATGGATGAGACCTAGTCCCCAGGTTGCTCACAATGTTGAGGGAGATACAGATGTAAATAAACATGAATCATGTGCTGAGTCTTGAACGATATTACGCAGAAAATGTTGCAGGGGTAGCTTGGTAGAGAATGACTAACTTGGAGCTAGAGGATTCTACAAACAGTACGATACTTGAATTGGACCAGAGGATAATATATTAGTCAGGGTTCTGCGGAGAAACAGAACCAATTGAATGTGTGTATGTGCATATGTGTGTGCACTGAGAGAGAAAGAGAGCGATGTATTGTAAGGAACTGGCTTACTCTATCATGGGGACGGGCAAGTCCAAAATCTGCAGGGTAGGCTGGAGACTCAGGGAAAACCATCAGTTCCTGTCCAAATGCAGTGTTCTGGCAGAAATCCTTCTTGCTCAGGAGACCTCAGTCTAAGACCTTCAACTTAAGACCTTCAACTAATTGGTTGAGGCCCACTACTTCAGGGAGGGTCATCTGCTGTACTCAAAGTCTACTAATTTAAGTGGTAATCCTCCCCACTGCTCCCATAATCACCTTCACAGAAACATCTAGAATACTGTTTGACCAACTATCTAGGTACTATGATCCAACAAAGCTGACATACAAGTTCAACCATCACAGATAGAGGCAAGACTTGGAAGGTCAGGAAAAGGAAAGACAGACTTTTAAGTTTTTTCACCGCCCTTCCTGGTCTTCAAGATGAACACCACATTCCTTAGCAAGCTAGTCAAGGCCAATCACGGAAGGCCCCTTGGCAGTGTCTTCCAGCCACACATTTGCCACTTCTCCATGTTAGATTCATACACCAGCCAGAGCCAACTACTTGTAGCTGCTGAAGGGGCTCTGTGCACTTGTAGCAGCGGGGGGCACCCTCTTCCCTGGCCCAGCCCACCGCCAGCCTGGACAACTCCCAGAACCCTGTACCCTGGGAAGCCTCCTCTGCTCCCCAGCTGAGTCAAAACCTTAAATTGCAAACCTTAAATTCTACAGTGAGGCATTTCAACTTTATCTCTGGTCAGAGGGAGTCATTAAAGTTTTTTAAGCAGGTCAGATTTTTAACTCAGATCTGGTCTGACTTTCTAAAAAATCACCATGGCAACAGACAAAGATGGATTCGAGGAGGAAGAGGCCACAGGCAGGAGCCAGGTGGTAAGGTAATGAACTCAGGATGGATTCAGGGAGATAAAACATGTATAATCAGGTAGAAAAAATATCAAAGCCAATGTGAAGATCATAAATTTATACCCTCAGAGTTCATGTGAGAGAAAAGAAAATAAGCATTTATGGAAACCCTGCTATGTACCAGAAACTCACACATACCACCTAATTTTATGCTCATAATAGCTCTTTTTAATAGTATAATTACCCATTTTCAAACCCGCAGAAAATAAATTCAGAGCAAAATTACCCTAAGTCCCAAACTAGATTCAATTCAGGTTTCATGAAGTCTGAAGTATTTTTTACAATTTTTGGCACTTCTTGGAGTACAAAATCATAAATATAAAAGTAGATATGAAACTGCACATATACTTAAAATGAGAAAAAAACTACCACTTCATTTTTTTATTTTTATAGATTCAAAGATACAAATGCAGTTTTGTTATATGCACATATTGCCTACTGGTGAAGTCTGTGCTTTCAGGGTACCCATCACCGGAACAGCAAACATTGTACCCAATAGGTAAGTTTTTCAATCCTCAAGCCTCATCCAGCCTCCCTGCTTTTTGAGTCTCTAATGTCTATTATTCCTCTCTGAAATTACAACTTTTAAAAGCAAACCAATAGATCCTAAAACCCAGTAAAATAACATGTTTTCATGAGTTAACTATCAACTTTTGTAATACATTTCCCCAAAATGTTTACGTGTATATTCCTTGATCTTTTCTATCACCATGGTTTTATAATATTTTCTATGAAAAGAATAGAAATATAATTCTACATATTTTTCTCAGCTTATACTTGATGAGGTGAGTTACCCCAGGGAACATTCCTTGAAGTCAATCCCATACTGGGCTAGCAATATATAAAAGCATATAAATAAAAATAAAAAGCAATATATAAAAGCACATAAACATACCCCTCTAAAACTAAATTAAATACATTCCTCACTCAACTTCTTTTAGCTACATCCCAAAATTGATCAGAAAAGAAAGAAAGTTTCTTTTACCTTCACAACTCTATTTTGTAATGTCATGTAAGTTTTTACGATTATTGTCAAATTTGGGAAGATTTTCATCAAGTTTCTTTTTAATATGATCTGCAAGATTTCAGAGCTTTTCAAGTCTTACTCAGTGACTCATCTTAGATTCTCTTTGAATTGTAAATGGTTGGTGCTTCTGGCTCCACTCAGATATGTTCCATGCCAGGCACCATAGGATTTTTTTGCCACAGGACGTCTAGCCCCAAATCCCTTTGTTACTATACCTGGTGAGATGAGTTAGCCCAGGGAACATTCCTCAAAGTCAATCCTATACTGGGCTAGCAATAGCTGACCAATATACAAAACCACATAAACCTACCCTTCTAAAACTAAATTAAATACATCCCTCACTCAACTTCTTAGCTATATCCCAAAATTGCTGGCTGCCCTTTCAATGGCATTTGAAGTGAGAAAACGTATAAGACAGGGAAAGTCAAGTGGAAAGATAAAATGGCCTTATTAACTGAGATGAAACAGCTTGTTTTTGCAAAATTTGAAAAATATGTATCTCAGTTAACATGTTGCTAGAGCTTCTCTCAATACCTTGGAAGTGGCCTATGCAAGAAGGGGCCCCAGTCAAAGTCAAAGTCGATGAGAATCAAGGTCAAATCTAGATCCACTAACTGAAAAGCCCATTCTTTTTCTAAAACTCTGAATAATCCTCAAAGCTACTTTTTAAAAATTTACCTTTTTAGCAATTTTTTAAAGTACTGTTCAGTGGCATTGAGTAAGCTCATATTGTTGAGCAACCACCACTGACATCAGTCTCAAAAGCTTTCATCTCGTAAACTGAAAGTCTACACCCATTAAACAATAGCTCCTGATTCTCCACTGCCTTCCACCCCAGATAACATATAAATTTGACTGTTGGAAAGTGGAATCATACAATATTTGTTATATATATATTTTGAGATGAAGTCTCACTCTGTTGCTCAGGCTGGAGTGCAGTGGTGTGTTTCTTGGCTCACCACACACAACTTCCACCTCCCAGTTTCAAGCGGTTCTCCTGCCTCTGCCTACTGAGTAGCTGGGACTACAGGCGTGCGCCACCATGCCCGACTAATTTTTGTATTTTTAGTAGAGACAAGGTTTCACTATGTTGGCCAGGCTGGTCTCAAACTCCTGAACTCGTGATCCACCTGCCTCGGCCTCCCAAAGTGCTGGGATGACAGACGTGAGCCACCGCACCTGGCCACAATATTTGTTCTTTTATATCCGGCTTATTTCACTTATATGTTTTCAACGTTCATCCATGTTGTATCATGTATCATAATTTCTTTTTTTAAGGCTGAATAATATCCCCTTGTATATGTTTGAACATTTGGTTTATTCATCAGTAGGCATTTGGGCTGCTTCCACTTTTTGGCTACTATAATAATGCTGCTATGAACATGGGTGTACAAATACCTCTTCCAATTCCTGCTTTCAATCCTTTCAATAAATATCCAGAAGTGAAATTTCTGAATCATACAATCATTCTATTTAATTTTTTGAGGAACCACAGTATTGTTTTCCATTGCAGCTGTACCTTTATACATTCCCACCAACAGTACACAAGAGTTTCAATTTGTTGACATCCTTGCCAATTCTTGTTATTTTCTAATTTTTTTTTGTCTTATTTTGTTTTGTTTAGATAACAGCCATCCTAGTGGATGGGATCTCATTACAGTTTAGATTAGCATTTCCCAAATGATTAGTAATATTGAGCATTTTTTCCTTGCCTTTATTAATATTAAAGCCACTTTTAACAGACTTATCCAGTTAAGTCCATTGATGCTGTCATGGAAACTTTGATTTTTAAAAATTAATTAGTTTGTTCACTCAATAAAATAAGCATGACTAACTTTCAATGGGTCAGACAACAGAGGATTCTCTTGAAGGATGAGGAGTGGGTTTCAATCAGAAGAAACAGAGTCCTAAAATATACAGTCACTTCAAAGCATATCTGGACTGCAGACAATACAATTCAGGATTAGAGTCACTGCATTCATGGATTTACCATGAATAGTGGGTGTTTCAGTGGGAAGAATACTTAGTAACTCTAAATTTTGACAGTATGGTTTAAAGATCCCTAGAGAGCCTTCTAGCTTATTCTAGAATCTCTATCTCCAATTGGAATAGTTCATAATCTCACCCATAAATATGTGTGTCTATTATTAAAGCAAGCTACCATCTCCTTTACCAACATGTGTCAGTGTTTGTCAATCTTTGCTGTCAGGAAATATTAGACCACAGGCATTTATATCAGGTCTCTTCACAAACGTGGGGTAGAGCCATGGGCAGTGTCACTGTTCACATTGACATCCTTTGGTGGAAAACACATACTTGTGGTCATGTTTTAGTAGCAGTCATCTGTAGACCTCCTCTGTTTCCAGCAGCCTCACAGAATGAATCAGACGCCAGATGGGAAACCGTGCAATTTAATTCAGTCTGACCTCCTGTCTCACCATCCATTTGGCAGACATGAGCAGTGTCTGGATTGGTTTTCACTCTAATACTGTCACAAAATAAGAGTATAATAGGCAACTGCAGAGGCTAGGAGAATGGGTACAACTTCCTTAAGTATTAATTGGCCTAACATTACACTATATATCTGAGAAGTAGAAACTATTTCTCAGTCAATAACTTCAAAGGACATAATGGAAATGGTGCATTTTAGCCTGGAATGTCTAGAACAAGATAACTAACACATGTATGCAGTAAGTACCAAGAAGAGTGGCCACTTACATGGCCCCAACATAAATTTCAGAGAACATTGCTGTAACTAAGGATATGGTTAACTTCTTCCCAGTGCAGGGCCACCTGTTTAACACAAAAGTTGTAAACTGAATGCCGAAGTTAGGTACAGGGAAATGCATCTACCAGAATGTTCAAAAGCTTCTACCAAGATTTACTAATAGAATTGTGAAACACTAGAGCCCATTATACAAAGAAGGATCCTGTTTATGATTGGACTGGGCTGTCCAAACTGAGTTACCACAGTGTTTATTAGTGTTTATTTCAAACACCACTTTGTGAGGATTTATGCTTCAGTCAGTTTATGACACTCAGAACCAATCTTCTTCAATGGCTCCAGATTTAAAAAGAATTTTATTTAAAATTTTTAAAATTGCTTTAGTCAAGTATTAAAAGTTATGTCTCTATAAAAAGTTAATTTTTAAATGATTTCAGAAGAACACTCAAAAAGTTTTGCTTAATATACCCTTCAACGCCTTATTTCAAACGGTGATTTTAAATGTCTATTTTTAATATTGCAAATAGTTACCAATTTGCTAAAGTCAGCAGTTGCACAAGTGTCAAATCATGTCAGTTTAAAGAAAATGAACATCGTTATAATTTGCAATTATTATAAACTCAAATAAAAAATGCTACTGGTACTTGTGACAGTTTCTGAGATCTATGTATTAATTTATAGTAAGAAAGGAATCTTTTTAGCTGAATGCTTCCTTTTAAGTGATTTTTCAGTCTTTTAAAAATACTTATAATAAATTCCCAATCCCTTTGAAAAATAGAAAATGGCTTTGTTACACTGGTCTTTAGTTTTTGAACACTAAGGTGGGAGTTAACCAGCTCCTACTACTTTCTGGTAAATGAAGAAAAAAAAAGTTGATGTTCATCCTTCCTGCAATGTGAATCCACTGAGTCCTCCAAAATACAAACCATGCAATGCTTTCTCTGAATTTCTCAAACATATATGCAAAAATTCAAGTATTTTGGACTATGATATTGTCACCTTGCAAAACTATGGCAAAATCTAAATTCAAATGGAAAATGAATACTTTAAATCAATTTTGTCTTCAGTTCCCCAACAGGTAAATTGAAAACCTACAGCAATAGTATAGTTCAACTGAAAATAAATACTGCAATTATCCTACTCTTGATTATTATAAAGATAGTGCTGATCAGAGAGGTTAACACGCCAACACATAGAGAAAAGTTAAAGTTGGAGGAAGAGCTCCTATCAAGAGTGTCAGGGGAGCAAGGCTTTGAGCCTAGGATTTAATCACCTTCCTGTCTCGTCAATCTGCTCTTAATTACAATTCCCTTTGGTGGAGGAGACAGTGAAAGCACACTTCCTTATGCAGATCTTTCTCAGCAAGTATCCCGTAATTAAAATAAAGGTGATGAAAAACAAACAAAACATGAGAATGATGGGAGATCAAGCCCAAATCATAAAACTGCTTTTGCAATCCTTTAGAAATGCAAATAGAATTTTCCTTTTGCATTAGCAGACACCATGAAATCTCAACAGAGACTGGCCAAGGCTTCATGCCTCTGACACTTTTGAATATTCATGGAACTCATGGATCAACAGCACTTCCAGATAAATCCTTGTAGATAGAACCACCTACTCCCAATGATCTGAGATGGAGTAAACAATAGATAGATTACTTTACTTGCTTTCCTGTTTCCTTTAGTGGGAATAAATAATTGCAGTCAATCTTCACCTCTTCTGGAAATAGGATTTAAAGTAGAGAGAGGTTCCCATCTCTGCTCATCTGAGCTCCAGAATGAGCCCCCTGCTTTCCCATACATTTCCCTGATTCTCTGCCCAGTACCCCAGGGTTTGCTGTGTTCCAGATTGTTCTTTCATCTCCCTCTTCCCCAGACCAAATTTGATTGTTTATTGATTACCCTTCCCAATTCTGGAGGCTTAATACTTTATGTAAAGAAATGTCCATAATTTGCAATCCCAGGCAGAAATTTTGAGAAAGGGCATTCTTTGTGTTCCTTGTAAGATGCCCTCAAATATCCTGCAGGTTTCTCCAAACTCTAGACCAATAGTCTTTTGCCCTGTCTCCCCTGACATCTCTGCTGCTATCTCCACCCCCATATTGAATTACAAAGTTATAAACTCTTGCCCCTTATTAATAGTGTTAGTTGTCATTTTACTATGTCATGTCCTGTACCAGGCATTCTACAACTATCAGCTCATTTAATTTTCACAGAACTTTACCAAAAAATTTGTTAAAGCTATTGTTAAAAGAAAAGTTTTAGCCAAAATAAATTTAAAAGAGTTTAGCTGAGCAAAGAATGATTCACCAATCAGGGAGCCTCCTGAGCCAGAGTAGGCTCAGAGACTCCGGCGCAGCCACATGGTGGAAGAAGATTTATGGATAATAAAAGGAAAGTTTCGTACAGAAAATGTAAGTGAGGTACGCAAACAGCAGGATCAGTTATAGCTAGGCATTTGCCTTATTTGAACAGGGTTTCAACAATGGCCACCTTTGAATGGCCAAAACTTGATGATTGGCACAAGAGGCTACAGTCTTTTTACAGGGTCGCTTAGGTTATAATTCATGATGTACAGAAAAATCTTTAGGCCAAACTAAAAATGTATAAGGAGGCAGCTTCAGGCTAAACTTGATTTAACACTACTATTATTCTCATTTTGCAGAAGAGGGGATTGTGGCTAAGATGACAGAACCGGTATTCAAACCCAATCTGTCTTCAAACTCCATCACTTCCCTCTCTCACACTCCCACGGTGCCCTCCAAAAGTGCTCTCATAGAAGGAAAGTACTAAATAAGAGAAATGTTTAAGATTCTGCTCCAGTTATGAAAAAAAGATAGGCCACAGCCCCCTTGAGTTATCTCATCTGCCAAATGAGGTGGCTGGATTAGTACTAAATATCTTATTCAAGGGGAAAAAACTATCATTGCCTTGTATTCTGCCTTGATCTTAAAGTCTGCATAAAAAAAGAAGAATGTTTGAGCCCTTCTTTTGTCATTATCTCCCTGAACTTACATTTTCTACTGAATTTCGTGTTTTTCATAATTTCCCCCTAGTTCTATGATATTGACTTTCCTCTCTTGCCCTGGGTTTTACCTGTACTGCCCAGAGCTTGTCAGTCCCTTTTAATTCTGCAGCTGAATGTGGTTTCTAACAGGCATCTGAGCCCAATTACAAGCATTGACTCTGATCTCCAAGTGATATAGTTTTATTCCCTGTGTAACTTCAAGGCTTGATCTATAGATCCACCATAGGAGTGGTTACCAGACTTAGACATGAGGGCCAAGATGCTCTTGGGATTCCTATTTCTAACATTTATTGTCTAATGTGAATTTGATAGGTTAAATCTAACTGCCAGAGAGTAAAGAATTGCTCTGGAGAAGCCAAATTTAAAATAGACTGTTTCAAAAATTCTCAAAACCACATCATTTTGTAATTATGTGCAAGCACTCAGGAGCATTGCCTTCCACGAGGAGTTTACACCAACTCAGCAGCTCAAGTTCATGTGTTTGCCAGAGACTTCGGACACCAGAGAATTGTGCGGAAAGTGACTGGGATTTCACTGATAAACAGCAAGTACTTCCACAGGAGTTATGAAGAAGGAGAAATTAGGACCACACCATGCATAACACTGTACTGTGTACTATAGACATTTGACTCCTACCTTCCTACCTGCTGCAAGAGCATTTCCTTACACTAAATTTATGATAGTTTGTATATCCCTAACCCCCCAAAATATAAAAAAGATGTCATAAATTGTGGCCAGGTGCAATGGCTCACATCTGTAATCCCAGAACTTGGGAGGCTGAGGCAGGTGGATCACCTTGATGTCAGGAGTTCGAGACCAGCCTGGCCAATATGGCGAAACCCTATCTCTACTGAAAATATAAAAATTAGCCAGGTATGGTGGTGGGCACCTGTAGTCCCAGCTACTCTAGAGGCTGGAGCAGGAGAATTGCTTGAACCTGGGAGGTGGGAGTTGCAGTGAGCTGAGATTGTGCCACTGCACTCCAGACTGGGCAACAGAGCAAGACTCCATCTCAGAAATAGATGTCATAAATTGCTTATATTGTTAGTCAAAGCATAGATTTTTTTAAGTTCAACTGAACCATTTCTCCTGGTTTTTATTATTCAATAAACAAGTTAAACCAACAATGGTATTAAAATAGCATTAAGATTCCTAGAACAAAACAAATTCTAAGAAGCTTTCAAAGTTTTGCCCTAGGTAACATAACTACTATGAAGGAACTGTTCTCCCGCTGGTTTCCCAGTATCCCCTGATATTCTATTTGAAGACCACTACCATGAATGTAATCTCATATATAATATTTTAAAGGTAATGATACCATCACTAAATACTTTTTAGACAGGAAAGTTGTATCTTAACTCTAAAGGATCAATGGCTACATAAAACCAGCTGTGGTTTTTGAATGCCAAATTATTGTCCTATAGAGAGAAAATATTTTTCGATTGTATTTGAACTCATGTGAGAATAGATTGCATATCTAGTTTTGAAATAAAGCAAAAAAAAAAACTCTAAATAAAATCAACATATAAAACCCAGATTTGCTTAAAAGGAAGAAGAAGAGGAGGAGGAGAAAAAGAAAAGAGTATCTCACTTCCAAAATAATTTATAACTATTTTTTCTGAATCAATAAAATGTGATTATTACTTCCTGTTTACAGAGCTGAATACAATCTTTTTTGAAGAGCAAGATAAACTCTTATGAAAGTCACATAATTTTTATTTGTTAAGAGGCTTATAACATAATTAAAATCCAAAACCCCTAGCCTGGCATTCAAAGCTCTTCACAGTCTGCTTAGACCTAATGTTGCCAACCTCATCATCTCTCATTGTAGCACATCCCTCACCATTTTCCAGCTACATACCACTGCTTGCTCTCTCCAGAAAAGACTGTGTCTTCATCTTCCACACATTGCTCCCACATTTCCTGCTATGCCCTTCTTTTCTTTTTCCTTTCTCTCTCTCTATTTTTTTTTCTAATTCCAACCCCTTCACATTTCCCCTGTCCAACACTTGGAAATTATTTGGTTTCTTCTCTGAAAGCCCATGTCATTTTGCTTGTTCTATCACCGGTGTCACTTTAGTTGTTTGCATCTCTGTCTCCTCCGTTGAACTGCCCTGAGCCTCAGAGGCAGGAGATATCCCATAATTATCCTCGTATTCTCAGAGCCTAACGTAAGTGTTGGCCCATTGTCAGTGAACAGTAGTTGTTGAAAATGAATGAAGAGGTAGAAGACTGAACTACTCAATGAGTTAATTTTTACAAACACTGATCCAAAGACCTCCTTTTGAAAGAAAAGCTGTGTCACAAAAAGATGTTGAAACCACAAGTATCAATATCTGTAATTTTAATATCAATAATGCCTGAGCTCTGAATCCCAAAGGGCATACTTACATTGAGTCTTAATTCTACACATACATCTGTCCTGACAGAATGCCTTATATTTTATTGTAAGCAATAAAAACAAAGTGACTTAATAATAAACAGTTATCTCACACGAACAAATGTTCCAAAGAAGAACAACTCAAGAATCGGCTCACTGAAGTCATCAAAGTCCCAAGTTCTTTCCATTTTTCTGCTCTGCTCTTTGCAGCACATTACTTTTCCCATTAGATTGGCAGTCTTCATGGTCTCAAGAGGGCTGCCCAGTTCCAGCCATCACTATCAGATGTGACATCACCCTCGGCTTTATGCTGCAAGTCCCTTGTAATAGAACCCTCTCAGTCCCAGCAAAACAGGAAGGTTAGGCACTTTACAGCAAACTCAAGACAAATGGCAAGTTTTCGTGCACAAGTCTTTAGAACCTAAGAAGGTATTTATGGGAAAGGGCTTCACCTTATTTTGCTCATATTTCACAGAACACCACATAGTCTATTAGGCTGAAAACCATTGTAATTATTATTTAAAAAGTAAAGCATTACCAACACATAGACTGATTACTAATATCATCCTGCGATAAAAGGAACCAGGTCTCCCAGGAGAAATGGCTGATTCTAAGACTGTAGCATGGAGCATGCAAGATGAGCCTACAGCAACTTCAAGTGTCAAAGTCAAGATGTGCTCAACAATGACACAAGAATGTCAGAAGGTCACAATAGTCACCCTGAAAGAACTCCTAATGGCCAATGCTGGAACAATTTGAGCAACAAAACAACATAATACTAGAGTATAATGCAAGATTGAAGATATCCATGAATATCTACTGATATAAATAAATAAATGGTGGAGGTGGGGGGAGACAAATCTCCTATACGAGAGAATTCCAAATAATTCATGTAGATACCACCCCCCTCAAAGAGGTGTGTTTAGTTACTTGCTTTCAAAAAGTAAAGTATGGAAAAAGGAGGATGGGGTCTTTACAATGCAGAAAACTGGCAAACACTATTTTGGCCAGATGGTCACGATTAGCATCATTGGTGGTAAGGGATATTGACAGCATGTACCTTAGTTACAGGGTGATGAGAATGGCACTTAATCTCTGTGGTCATTTTCTTAAACACCCACAACCCCAGTCTAATCAGAGGAAAAACATGAAATGAATGCAAATTGCAGGAGAGTCTACAAAATATCTGACCAACTCCTCAAAACCGTCGAGGTCATCAGAAACCAGGAAAGTCTGAGAAACTGCCACATACCAGGCAAGGCTAAGAAGACCTGATGTGACTAAACCCAATGTGGAATCCTGATTTAGGTCCTGCAACAGAAAAAGAAAATTACGAAAAACCTACTGAAACCAAATAGGTGTGGAGTTTAATTCCTAGTAATGTACCAATATTGGCTTTTTAGTTGTGATGAATCTACCATAGTAATGTAAGATGTTAAAATGGGAGAAACTGAATGAGGGCTATATGGGAACTTTCTGTATTGTTTTTGAAACTTTTCTGTAAACCTAAAACTATTCTAAAATTAAAATTTTATTTAAGAAAATATAAGCCATACCTGTTGAAAGCATAAAAGGTAAAAAGGGAAAATTAATAAACTCGACCTTATCAAAAGTTAAAATTTTTGCTCTGTGAAAGACCCTGTACAAGATGAAAAGATATACAACAAACTGGGGAAAATATTTGCAAACCACATAGATGACAAAGAACTCATATCTACAACATGTAAAGAACCCTCAAAACTCAACAATGAAAAAACAAACAATGCAACTAGAAAATGGGCAAAAGACATGAACAAACATGTCAAAGAGGATATACAATAGCAAATAAGCACATGGAAACATGCTCCAATGTCAATAGCTATTAAGAAAATGCAGATTAAAACCAAAATTTCACAACTACTGTAACTAAAAAATAATACTAATGAAACACCAAATGCTAATGAGAGTATGGAGGAGTGGAATCTTCCATACATTGCTGGCAAAAATATAAAATCATAAAGCCACTCTGGAAAAGAAGAAGGCAATTTCTTATAAGATAAATATGTACTTGTCATAAGACCCAGTGATTATTCTCTCAGGCATTTAACCCAAAGAAATATTAACTTAGGTTAACAGAAAAAAAAAAAACATACACATAGCAGCTTTATTAGTAATTGCCAAAAACTGGAAACAACTCAAATATCTTTCACTGGGTGAATGGTTAAACAATTCTAATACATCCATACCATGATGATTATTAAGCAGTAGGAAGGAATGAGCTATTGATACATATAACCTAGACGGATCTCAAGGAAATTATGCTGAGTGAAAAAAAAATTCTCAAAAGGAAACATACTACTATATGATTCTATTTATATAGCGTTCTTGAAATGACAACATTATAGAAATCAAAACAGACTATTGGTTGGCAAGGGTTAGGAGAGGGAGGGGGAAGGGGAGGCAGGACAGGTGTGTATAGCTACAAAAGGTAGTGTGAGAGATTCTCACAATGGAACGGTTTCATATGTTGACTATGTTGGTGTCACATGAATCTATGGATAGGATAAAATTGTATAGAACTAAATACACATATACACAAATGAGTGCATATAGAACTAGTGAAATCTGAAGAAGGATATTGATCCTATCAATACCAATTTTCTGATTTGATATTGTACTACAGTTATATAACATGTTACCACTGGGAAAAATTGTGTGAAAAATATACAGGTTCTCAGTGTATTATTTCTTACAACTGCATGTGAATTTTAAATGATCTCAACATTAAAAGTTGCAAAAAAAAATGTAATCAATGTAGAAGAAAACACCAGGCTATAACAGGCGATTTTTTTTTTCAGGATTGAAATATCTGCATTTTCACCATCTAGTTTTATCTAACTAATTCAGAGGAAAAGAAAAATAATTAAAAGTGCCCTAAAATGCAGCAGCTATGTAATCCATCCCCTTCTGCTATGTCATGTCAGTATATCCCAGGGACCACAGGCTCAGCAAATGGAAGCTCTACAAGAAGCCAAGAACATAGCATTTGTATAATTCTGTTGTTGGCTTGTTGTATGAGCCTTTAGGAAGAAATTTTCTATTTAACTCTCTGTAGGACAGAGCCAGAATTCTATGGCATATTTCTAGGTTCCCCTAGGTTGATGTTGACTTATTAATCTCTACTATCCAGACACAATTGCTCAACCAATTATAAATTTACCTATTGACAGTATTGTTGAATACATTTTTTCCTCTATAGCTATAAGCATGTCAGTTTTTAAAAAGTGTTTTATTGAAACCAGGATAGTCTCCATTTATAACATTCCCTGATCTATATTTGCCATATAAAAAACCTTCTTAAAAAATGTGGTTAATCTGGCATGGCCTTGTTTTACATAATCCATTCTGACTCATTGAGATTTATCTCTTTCTTTGAAATGCTCTAAAAATGTTATAGAGTTTGTTTCAAGAACAGTACTCAGTTTTCTTATCTCTAATTTAAAAATGTACCCTTATTGTATTTTTTGAAAATTAGAACAATGATAACTTCCTTTACAAATATTCACAGTCCAAAAGGATGGAGAGACACAGAAATGTACAAACAGGGAGGTGAGGGACAAGAGTAATTTTGCCTTAGCCAGGAGATTTGGGAGTTTTAGGCTTCCCAGTGCAGCTAAGCTTTAAGCAGATTGTAATAAACAACAACTGCTTAATTAACAGTTGTTGAATATATGATTAATGAGAAAATAAATAAGAAAAGTAAGCTCATATTTGTACAAGATATATGTGCAAGTATGTTTTCGTTTATAATAGAAAGTAATTCAAACTAAGTGACATTAGGAAGGATCTGTAATCCCAGCACTTCCGGAGGCTGAGTTGGGAGGATCACTACAGCCCAGGACTTCAAGACCAGCTTGGGCGACATAGTGAGACTCTGTCTCTAAAATAAAAGAAAAACAAGAAAAAGGTAAAAGAAAAGAGTTTGGTTAAATGACACATACCATGTAATTATAACAGTTGTTAAAATAAATGAAAAAAAGCTGTAAGTATTGATTTGCAAAGACACCCAAAATATCATATTAGGTAGAATAAATGAAAATAGAAAATTGCAAAGATATATGCATATATGCATGCATAACCTTATATGCATGCATAACATATATGCATGCATAACATATATTCATGCATAACCATATAAACAATATCATTTTATTTAAATATAACAATAGATTTGTTGTTATACATAGAAATCTAGAAAAATACAAAATAAGTTATTAACCATTGTCTGTGTGGGGAAAGATAATGGGTACTTTTATATTCTTTTTATTCCTCTGATATTCAACTTCTTAACGTAAGCTTTGTTGAGAATGAAAAAATAATCAAGATGAGTAGGCGCTGCATCATCAAAGAAGCGAAAGGTGTTGTAGCCTAGGAACAGTTTCCATAGGTGTCACACCTAGGGGACACCATGTCTCCTGATACATCTAAGGCCTGGTCTTGGAGTTGGAGGCTGAAGAAAAATGTTCAGTAGCATCTTAATTTATACGTTTGGTGTTAATATTTTCTATAGAGCATGGGATTTTAAGAAGGGGTAAAATCATCAAGCCTTCATTTTAAAAGGTAATTCATTCATGTTTTCATCCTTGATGATGGCACCTCTGCCTATCTTGGGGCTATATTTTGAGGTCCCTTGAACCATACTCATTTTTTTGAGATGTCACTTCTCTGCCTGTTCCTCCTCTATTTCTCACTGGGCTGCTATGTAATTGCACGGTAAGAGCCCTGTTCTTGAGAGCCACCATCCCTCTTGAGCCCTCTTTCCTTCACAGTGCAGTGCCTTTTAGCTTTTCTCTGAACATTTGGAAACCTTTATTTTCTTTAAGTTATGAGTTTGTAGTTGATTCTGCCCCTCCTCTCTTTGCTTCTATAGTTTCTAAGGTAACGTGATCACAGTCCCATTTTCTGTCATTTACTCACCCTTAGCCAGTTTTTCCTTATTTTCCAAAGTAAATCAAAAAGAAATTTTTGTCACTGATGCTTCCAACTCCCAAGGCCCAGCTCCCTCACTGCTGAGTTGAGATGACCGATGCCCCGAACAAGCTAAATGCCCATCCCAGAGGCAAAACTAGAATTGCGATGCCTTGCTCTCACTTTCCACTTGGCATTTTTCCTCTATATTGAATGACTCCCAAAGGGGCAGATGGCATGGTGGCTGGAGGGAGGTTAAGGAGCAATTTTCTTCTTTAAGCTGGTGCTTTTCTCTCACGTAGGATGTGAGAGAAGAAGATGAATGAGGACGCATAAAATGAATTATACCTTATTTTTTTAAATAATTTAAATCCAAGATAGACCATTTCTTGTCTTTACCTCAAACTCCAGTCTTTGAAAGAGACCAATTTAATATCCTCTTATAACATAATGTAAGGCTCAGTACTTTAATAGGAGTCGACTAAGGCATCTAAATCCTACTAGTCTTGTCTCTTGAGCTCTTTTTTACTCTATAAAATACAAGCCAGAGAAGATTTGCAGTGGAATATTTCTACCTATTCTCATCCACCTGTCTAGTGCCCTACAGTAGTCAACTTCCCCATATGCCACCACCAGCACCAGCGTTTTTCGCTGGGAAACAGCAGGGAAAACCAATTTGGCTCACATGCACTTGAGATTGTGTTCATGCCTTCAGAAGACTCAGCTCTGCCACATGCAGACTTCAGAAATGAGTGGAATCTAAGAAGCATCACTAAAACCCTGAGCTAGCATTTCTACCAACACGAGTGCTGTGTCCTCCCACAACCGGAGGCCTCGCCAGGTAATAAAGAGAAGTCCGCAGCTGAACGAGGAGACCGGAGCTCCCATGACCATGGCTGCTTATGATCTGCACTTAGGAGCGAGAGCCAAGTCGCGGATGGGGCAAAGTCCCAGCAGGTGCAAGTGATGCTTATAGGGGACCTGTCATTGTCTATAGGATTTTATGTACTTTTAGTCACAAATGGATGTGCACTTAAGAGAAAACAGTGTCGTAATCCCAGCACTTTGGGAGGCCGAGATGGGCGGATCACGAGGTCAGGAGATCGAGACCATCCTGGCCAACATGGTGAAACTCCGTCTCTACTAAAAATACAAAAACAAAAAATCAGCCGGGCGTGGTGGTGGGCGCCTGTAGTCCCAGCTACTCAGGAGGCTGAGGCAGGAGAATGGCGTGAACCCAGGAGGCAGAGCTGGCAGTGGCACTCCAGCCTGGGCAACAGAGTGAGACTCCATCTCAAAAAAAAAAAAAAAAATAGAGAAAACAGTGTCCCTCCAACCACCTAGCTAGACTCTCTAGTTAGGTCTTGCAAATAAATAAAATATTAATATTTCACCAGCCCACAGCTCTGTGTGGTCAGTCTTTTTTGGCCACATGATACAATTTAATGAAATAGCTTATATGATCATTCTTATTTATCTAGAACAAATTATTACTTTCCCTCCGCCAATGGGCAATTTAGTTATATACAACTCAGTGACAGCCAATCTTTATGGTTCCTTGGACATGGACTCATAGGATTCCAGATCTCAAAGGAGCCTTGAAATGTATCCCACATCATTCCACGCACCCCCATTATCACCAGCTGGCTCCTGGGTCCCAGTCTCCCTTCTCAGCACCCTGGATAGGCTCTGTGACTTTGCCATCAGACTTTTTGTTTGGAACAACTTTTTCCCATGTTCTGCCTGAAAAATTTTCTCATTCTTCTAGATGCAGGCTAAGGGTTACTTTCCTTGGAAGACTTCCCAGCAATCCCAGACGCAGACACAGCTGCTCTGGACTCTACGTGTCTTTATATATATTTTTATTACAACACATAAAACACTGCATCGCAGTTACTTGTTTGCCTATCTTTCTCCTCTCTCTATTCTCCTGAAAAAAATTCCAACAAGCCTGTAATGTATTTGAGGACAATGACTTTCTTTTATGTTTTAATCATGTTTGGAGGCAGAGAGATTAAGTGATAAAGAAGAGGGAGGAATCTAAGTGACAGTGAAATCAGGGTGGATATGAGCAATTATATCTGTATACATGCATGTGAACAGATTCTTTATATACTTATCTGTGGCATGCTTTTATGTGGCTGCGATGTTATGATTATGATATGATTAGGGATAGTATTTTTAGCCATTCACAATACTTTTAAAATAAAGATCTATGAAAAGCAGGGCGGGTTTTCAAATCCTCTCTTAATCATTGCAAAATAAAAGGAAAAGGTGATTGTGTGCTTTTTGTGAACAGGCTTTTCTGTTTCAAGTCTGAGCCTGAGGCATCCTCTTAAAATGGCTTCCAAAAGCAATTCTAGATATAGCCTCTCCCTTCTTACCATGAAAATGTTGAAGAATACAGAAAAAGCCTAACTCTTGTACTACCTCCCAAGATCTAAGACTAACAGTGTGATTGGAAGAATCTGGGAAAATTTCCAGATTCGCCAAAGTCACTGAACACAGAGCCCAAAGGTGTAGCCCATCCACACTCTGATGCCACAGTCACCATCTGTCCATGGTGCCCCCGCACCAACCCTACAGCCCTTTACCCCACCCCTGACACCCAGTCCCATCCTCACAGACTCAGAATCTGAAGCTGTCTTAATCTAGGGTTGTCTGCTCACCAGGCAAAGAAACCTGCTGAAACTGGCCCAGGTAAAGGAGTAGTAGGTGTAGCTCAGAGAACCCAGGAGCAGGAAAAACAGCCTCAGGTGCTTAAACTGAAAAAAGAAGCTCAAAACTCACTTTCTTCTTCAGGTCTCAGAAGCTGCACTCTCTAAGCTATGTGGGTTTTGTTTGTTTTTGTTTTTTTCCTGTGTCTCCCAAGAACTTCCTGCATGTGGGGCTCTGATGACTTCCCTGAGGCCTGACGACCCATGATCTCCCAGTCCAAGAGCTTCACGGAGCTCCAAGGCCTTGTTCTGCACTTCCAGGGGCAGGCTGTCAGCTGCCCAGCAAAATGGGGATGCACAGTGTGGCTAGGGAGAAGGGGTTGCACGCAGCAATACAGTGTTCTTCAGCCTTCCAGAAAACAGCTATTGATGGGCCTCCTCAGATTCTGGAATGTGTATGTACTCATTTGCTAGGGCTGCCATAACAAAGTACCGCAGACCGGGGGCTTAAACCACCGAGATTTATTGGCTCACAGTTCTGGAGGCTGGAAGTAGGAAAGGGTTGGTTCCTTCTGAGGGCTGCAAGGAAGCATTTGTTCCAGGCCTCTCCCCTTGGCTTGGAGATGGCCATTTCCTCCCTGTGTCCCTCATATCTTCTTCCCTCCACGCATGTCTCAGTGTCCACATTTCCCCTTTTTATAAGAACTATTTGTCATAGTGGATTAAGGCCCAATCTAATGAACTAATTTTAACTTGATTACCTCTACAAATACAGTAGGTCCAAATAAAGTCACTTTCTGAGGTCCTGGGGTTAGGGATCCAATGAATGAACCTGGGGAGCAGAGGGAACACATTTTACCGCCTAACAGCACAGTTCCTAAACATGAGATCTTTTTGCATAGACCCCTGGGAAGTCCAGTGTTTAGTGGCCTGCCACTCCGTGTTTGGTGGCCTGTCATGTCAGAGTGGCAGCCTGTCTTGCTGCATCTAGAACTGTTCAAGCCAAATGCTCATCAGAAACTGAGACTCAGATGAGGGGTGTGTGGGCACCAACCTGCCTTTCAGGTGTGGCTCTGGGAAGAGGGCTTCCAAGCATGCTCAAGTGCCTAAGAGTCAGCCTAGTAACTAAAATAATACAAAACAAGACAGCAACAAGATCACATTTATGTCGATCATACTGGCAGAATGTTAAGACAGGACTGCATTTTGAGAGGAGCACACACACCACACATTGCTCATGTCAGCAAAAAGTGGAACCACATTTCTGGAAACAATTTGGTGATGTCATCAAGGGCATTTTTAAAAGTTGTATAATTTGACCCAAGATTCCTGATTTTAGAAATTTTTCTTAGGAAACTAACAAGGGCTACATTGAAAATTTTCTATAAAAAAAAATTCTTCTCAGCATCAATTTTAATAGTTAAAAAAAAATCCCTGGAAAACAGCCTCAATGTCCAACAAAAAGGGGATATGGCATATTCATATGATGGAGTAGTGCAATGAAACTAGGAGTTTTCAAATAATTAGATTTAATGACAAATTTTTTTGATATAAGGTAAAATATTAAGTGAAGCAAGCTACAAACTTATAATACATTATGTAACAAACTATATTTAAAATACTCATAAAAATAATGGAAATTTTAGCAATTTTTTTGGTGATAAGATTAGAAACTTTTATTTTTAAATCTCTGTATTTCCTAAACTTCTTGCAAAGAATATATTTAGACATTACCCCTGTAAAGCAGAAAGAATAGCAATTTTTTTTTAACTGCGTGCTTCCTTTTCTATTTTCGCTTCTCTTCCTTCTCCTCTACCCTTACTTTCAACCAAGGCTAGAGGTTGAACAGTGACTTAATGCTCACAATGTCTATTGCCCTATTTGACCCAATAGCTTTAGATCTATTTCTCATTATTATTGCATCCACTGTAACTTTTTCCATACCCTGATGCTCATGCAAATTACAAAAGAATTTCCAGTTGTTTAACCTGTTATTATCTGTTTAACTTGTGATTCACTTTCCCGTTGCTTTGGCTTGTATAGTGACACTGGTGAAAATGCTTTAGTGAATGAGAAATTAACTAACCATGGAATCATAGTAAGAGTTATAAGGACTTGAAGTGGAAATGCCCTGGTGGAATTACTGTCACATATAGACTACATTTTTCTATATTTCTCTTGTAATTCCTAACTTTGAGTTCCTCCCAGTAGGAATACACTGTCCTTCATGTACAAATATAAATATATAAATATAGCAACATTATAGCACTTCAAACTTGTCATGAACTTTTCCAATCTTTTTAAAATTCTGACAAGATGACTTTCTAATGAAAGAATTTGATCATGTTAATTTCCCAGTTTAAAAATCTTTTAGTGGATGTTGGGCTATGCTACCTAGGTCCTCCTTTGGGTGCTGTGCTGTGCTACCTAGGTCCTCCTTTGGGTGCTGTGCTGTGCTACCTAGGTCCTCCTTTGGGTGCTGTGCTGTGCTACCTAGGTCCTCCTTTGGGTGCTGTGCTGTGCTACCTAGGTCCTCCTTTGGGGCTGAGCACCCCTTCTCCACAGTTGCCAGGAATGTTGGGGCTAATGTCTGTCAACTGAGTGGTTCCCCAGAAGGTACCCTCAGCTGAAGACAGCAGCTTCACCCAGGGCCACACCCCCTCCCTAGGAACAGCCAACCTCTGATGACTGGTCAATGCAGGGCTGTAGAGCTTGACCACCTTGCCTTCAGTTGGGGCAAATCTGAAGGGTCATCTCAGCTCTAGAGCTCCCTGTAAGATCTGCCCTGCAGGTCACTTCTTTCCCCTGCCCACCTCTCCTTCCTTCATTTGCCTACAGATATTGTTCCCATGAACACTCTCTAATAAACACCTGCATGCAAATAAATGTCCGCCTCTGTGTCTGCTTCCTGGGGGAGCTCAGTGTAAGACTTTGTACCAGGAGTAGTCTGAGGAAGCAGACTCTAAAATGGGGGTCTCTAAATAGAGTATAAAGTGGGGACGTGGATGATCCCTGATCAACTGGTTATGAGAATCCTATCACGGATGGTAAATGGAGCATGCATAGCCACAGGCATCCTGTAGCAGTGAAATTGCTAAAGCTTTTCCCAGTAGTGAATTGCAATTGGATACCAATGGAAAGGAATGCACTAGGGTGAGAATTATCTCAGTGCTTGAAAAATTTCAGGAAAGCAGAAATTCTAAGAACTATGGAATCAGGTATCTATTTTTGGGTGCAATCAATACACTGAAGGAAAATAGTTACAATCTGAGGGTTGGGGAGCTTAATCTAAGAGTTGGAGAGCTTCATTGGCATGATATAGAGTTCCCCTCATCTGCTGAAGAAAAAGCTTCGGATCAAAACCCAGGACCTGCTTATAAGAGAGTAACAGAGCTTCAGAGGAGGTTGAATCCTAAAGCTCATCAAGTCTTCTGCTGCCAAAGTCAGGGCTCTTGGAAAGGCACAGGACCCTGAGACATGGGATGGGAATATCTGAGCTAATGCACTTGAAATCTTAAATGCCAGATCCCTGTGAAATCTCTGCACCTGCTAACACAGTCTACTCTTTACTGTTACAGGGTAGCCCCCCTTCCCCACCTTGATTGAAGATGATGAAAAGCAAGGGGGAAGGTCCTTGCCCTTACAAGATAATACACACCTCTTTAAATGCCTACTCCATATCCCCTCCTTGACACACACAAATAACTAGGATTAAGTCATATCATAAATTTGTCAGGAAGGTAATAGGCTTGCTAGGAGAGAAAAGAACTATTCCCTAAAGAAGCCACAGGACCTAGCCAACATGTACCAGCAGGATCTGATAGATGAGACTACATCTTGAAGGCACTGGATCAAGGGAGGTGGGAAAGTGGTATATAAAAGAAAGTTTATTGATATAGAAGTACTCTCCCATGTTACAAACTTTAACACCCTGGCAAAGACCCAGTCATGCTTGAATAGATTTTGGAACCTTGAAGAAAGCAATGGTCCATGTATATAAGGTCAACATGGAAGAAAGCCCATGGAAGACAATAAAATAGATGATCAAAAGCTCAGAGAAAGGAATGTGGTAGAAGGAATGTACTATGCAATGCCAGAAAACCAACTTGCTGACTATGTTCTGTGGGCAGCATGGGGAAAAGCGTTTACCAAAGCAGTAAAAAATGCAATGGTTAGAGGTACAACTGCATCCCTGAGAATCTCAGAAATGGCTGCGTTCTATAGGCCAGGGCTAACAGTGGGAAATGATCTTACAGAACTGGGCTCCCTGACAGCAATAAGAATGATAAAATCCCAAAATCAGAGAGGTTGGATGGCGCACTTAAATATTAGAATCAAAAGGGAACAAGTTTTCTAATAAAATACAAGGTCATTGTAGCAGTCCAAAAGCTCTGGCGGTAGTAGAACATGTCACACAGACAGTATAGATGAGTAGGCAACAAGGTTAATGTTCAGTTTGTACAGTCTACATAAATCAAAAATGGATGATCAGAGGACTGAGGAAAGCTGTCCCAGTAAATCGTCATACTCACTTTTCCAGCTTCTGGACCTAAGCATTCAGACCCAGATCTCACAGACTGAAGTAGAGACCATGTCCCCTGGAGAAACCTGCAGTCCTAAGGCAAGTGCCTTCACTAATGATATCTCCAGTCCTTTTCGAAAAGGACACAGGGCCCTTTAAATGAGTAACCATACAGTGGGGAAAGGAAAATACCAAAATACTTTATGACTGGTACACAATGTGCAAGCTGAGAAGATACTGGGAGACCCATGATCCCCCTTTTAGAGAGGGGTTAAAGGAGGACTGAGTAATGAATGAAGCCCTGGCTCAGATCTGGGTTACAGTGGGTCCAGTGGGTCCATGACCCAGCCAGCGGTCATTTCCCCTGTTTTCTAAATGTTAATTGGGAGGGATACATGTGACAGTTGGCAGAAACCACACACCAACTCCTTGCCATGTGAGGTAAGAGCTATCACAGTGGGGAAGGCCACATGGAAGTCTCTAAGCCCTCCCCCTTCCGTCATCAATACAGTTGTGCACCATGTAATGACATTTTGGTCAACTATGAACCTCAAATATGACAGTGGTCCCAAAAGATTATAACGGACCTGAAAAATTCCTATCACCTAGTGACATTGTAGCCACCGTACCATCTTAGTGCAATGAATTACTCATGTGATTGTGGTGATACTCGTGTAAACAACCCTACTGTACTGCCAGTCATATGAAAGTCCAGCACATGCAATTATGTACAGTATATAATCCTTGATAATGACAATAAACAACTATGGGCCTGGTTTATATATTTAGTGTACTATCCTTTTTATCATTATTTTAGCATGTACTCCTAATTAAAAAAAAAAAAAAGTTACCTGTAAAACAACCTCAGGCGGGTCCTTCAGGAAGATTCCAGAAGAAGACACTGCCGTCACAGGAGACAAGAGCTTCGTGTGTGTTATTGCCCCTAGAGTCCTTCCGTGGGACAGGATGTGGAGGTGGAAGACAGTGATATTGATGACCCTGACTCTGTGTAGGCCTAGGCTAATGTGTGCTTTTGCGACTTAGTGTTTAACAAAAAGTTTTAAAAAGTAAAACATCAAAATCAAAAATTTAAAAATAGAAAAAAAACTTACAGAATAAAAATATAAACAAGAAAATACTTTTGTACAGCTGTACAATGTGTGTTTGAAGCTAAAGCTAAATATTGTTAGAAAAGAATTCAAAAATTTAAAAAATTAGCTTATAAAGTAAAAATGTTACTGTAAGCTAAGGTTAACTTATTACTAGGAAAAAGGTTTTTGTTTCATAAATTTCGGGTAGCCTAAGGCACAGTGTTTATAAAGTCTCTAGCGGTGTGCAGTAATGTCCTAGGCCTTCACATTCACTCACCACTCACTCACTGACTCACCCAGAGTAGCTCCTAGTCCTGCAGTGCCCTGTATGGGTGTAACATGTCTTTTCTTTTATGTAATATTTTTACTATACCTTTTCCATATGTGTATATATTTAGGTAGAAAAATATTCAGCATTATGTTACAGTTGCCTGGAGTATTCAGCACAGTACCACGGTGCACAGGTTTGTAGTCTAGGAGCAACAGACTACACCATTTAGCCCAAGTGTGCAGTAGGCTGTACCATCTAGATATGTGTGAGAATGCTCTATGATGTTTGCACAATGATGAAATCACCTAATGACACATTTCTCAGAACATACCCCCGTCTGTAAGCAACACATGACTATATAGTAAATCAGGCACAGTTTAGCATACTGAAAATATTTCAGAGATTATTATTACCATTAAAAACATAGAACTCAGCAGGGCTGGCCCCCAACATAACCCCATTAATTCACCAGTTTAACGGAAAACAATCCAGAGAGAAAGCAATCCAGAGGATTGGCAGTGGAGTGTCACAAACTCAGCCACGTGGTAATACCAACTGCAGTCTGTGCCACACAGGGCATCTCTGCTAGTGTACAGCCACACTGCCTCAGGTGTGTTATGCCACCATTGATCTGATAAACCCATTCTTTTCCATCCCTACTGAGGAAGAAGATATGACAGAGCTTGCATTCACTTGGAACACACAAAAGTATAATTTACAGTTCTTCTCTCTGAGAAGACCTGACCACCTGGGTATCCTGTCCACTACAGTGGTGACATGATACTAATCATACCAGATGAGGGAAAAGTAGCAAATATGTTACAGACCTTCGTAATTTACATCACATCATTTCAGAGGATGAGAGATAAATTTTATGAAGATTTAGGGGCCCACCATTTTAGTAAAATATTTGTCGGGGCATGCTGGACCCTTCATTGTAAATAAAAAATTGCTGCATCTGACACTTCTTATCAGGTGCAAGGAAGCATTATGCCTATGAGCCACTCTAGGCCTTGGGAATTTCTATGCTGGGCTTCAGTCCATTTACTAGGCGTATTGGTCAGGGTTCTCCAGAGAAACAGAATCAATAGGATGTGTGTATAGAGAGAGAGAGAGGAAAGAGAGAAACATTTATCCAAAAAAATTAACTCACATGATTACGGAGGCTAAGTCCATGATCTCAGGGTAGGCAGGAAAATTAGAGACCAAGAAAAATGCTGCTGTTGCAATTTTTTTGATGGCAGTCGAGTCTGATGGCCACCTGCTAGCCGAATTCCTTCTTGTTCCAGCAAGGTCAATGTTTGTTCTATTCAGGACCTCATCTAATTGGGCGAGACCCACCCACATTACAGAGGCAACATGCCTGACTCAAGTCCACCAATGTAAATGTTAAACTCATCTGAAGAAACACTCTCACAGACACATTCAGAATAATGTTTGACCAAATATTTGGATACCATGGCCAGCCATGTTAAACGTAAAATTAACCAGCATACCAGGTAACATCAAAGGTTGCCACCTTTCAGTGGGGCCCAAAAGAGAAAGTCAAAGCTGAAGGCAAGAAGCCCTATTGTTACAGTAGGTAGCTAGTCAGGCAGGAGAGGGCCCTCCCACCCCCAACGAATGTCAAGTGACCATATGGTCAGGTGGTTGTCACACTGTCTCTAAAATAATAACTGGTCACAGCCAGCACCAGGGAAAGGCAGTCTCTCAATAAATAGAAATACCAGAAACTGGTGATAAGATCTCAGAAGTTGGGGAGTGGGCCCAAGGATGCGCATTAAGAGGCAAAATGGCAGAGTTTAACTGGTATATGACCTCCTAGGGACATTCGACCGGTAAGGGAAGAACACCTCAAGTGAGCATGTGTATAACTCCAGTGAACACACTGTGCATGCTTCCCTCCCAAGCGCTAGCAGGCGACTGTGCATGCAGACAGACCACCCCAAGCAGAGAATCAGGCAAGAAGGGATGCAAGACCCCAGAAGCATGCCAATGTACACCTAAAGGTATCAGGGGTAGGAAAAAAGGTGCATGATCACAGGGTACCAAGTGACCATACAGACAGAACTTTCCATTATGACCTGTGTTGTGTAAGACTCCCCAAATCACAGTATCATAGCAAAGCAAAAACAACTTGTAAAATGCAAATGTTACATCTGAGACCAGGCATGAATAGGGCCAGAAGACACAGATAACCTACATGAACAAGTGGTCCAGAACCCGTTGCGATCCACCACTATGGCATGGGTGCAAATCTTTTAGTTCAAATCTTTAGCCACATGGGATGTCCCTTATGACCAGCCCACCAAGAGGGAGAGGATTTGTTTTAGTTCCTAAATGCATCGGCTCCACAGGTGGGAACAAACTGGAAATTGACTGCCATTGCTCTCTAGTTCTATAGCAGTGAGGATAAATCCTCCCAATGGGCAGAGCTGAGGGCAGGCTCTGTGTGGAAAGAGAAGTTACCCAAGGTAAGAATGTGTAACACATGGGAGGTAACAAATAGCTAAGCTGGTTAGTTGGGGCCTGGAGGGAAGTTTGAAAGATAGAGACAAGGAAGTCTGAGGAAAGGCATTTAGGTGGCCTGATAAGAGTGGGCAAGAAATATGAAGATGTTTTTATCTTATGGTAACACCTACCAGAGAGTATCCCCCATGGAAGGAGTACTATACAACCATGCAGATACATGTGTCAGCCAATCAACACTGCCAACCTCTGCCACTAGCCATTCAGGCCTGGTACAGTGGGAGCATGAGCAGAGTAGCCATGGCTGCAGGGATGTGGGTTTCATAACATAAACATGATTGAGTCAATCACTGGCCACCTGATTGAGCTCAATCTCCAGTCCATCTCCCCTCCTTGGAGGTGGAGCTGTCCCAAAATTTCAACCCTCTAATTATGTGATGGCTCCCAGTCTGAAGCCATCCAGGGGCTCACCCTGAGTTACTTCATTAGTATAACAAAGACAGTCTTATCACTCAGAAAATTCCAAGCCATTCTGAGCTCTGTACCAGGAATTAGGAAAAAACACCAGATGCTTTCCTTATACCACACAAGGTGACTGCCCCTCCTTGAGGGCAGCCTGCATCCAGTGGCTGCTCGATGGGAGATGTGAGCTTGGAGCGAATTGCCTCATGGTAGAACAACTCTGAAGAGCCATCCGGCTCCGAAGCTCCTCTGGCATCAGCTGTAGCTTTTGTTACAGTTTAAGTTCTCCAATTCTCAGGAGGCGTTGACATGGAAAAGCAATCTCCAATAAACTTTCCCCATGCCTGCCTTTTTTTAACTCTACTTCCAAGGTAATCTAACCTAAGACACTTTTCATCTACTGGCAGGATAAAATTCAGACATCTCAGGAAACAAGGTCATTCATGTGCTCACTACCTAGTTATCTAACATCAATTTGTAGAATCTTTGAACTTTGCACTTCCGCCATATTGAATTTCACTCTAAAGTCCCTGAACTCCTTCATTTAGCTGCTGAGTTGTGTTAGCTGGTGCACTGGGTTAATGGGCACTCTCCAGCCCTCTGTAAACTATGCTGGCTGCTTGCTGCAGGTGGACTATTCATAAAGATCCCCACACAACTGTGATTCCCCAGTTGTATTAGTGCACACCTGGAAATAGTTCTTCCCAAAATGGTTTATGCTAGCACTTATTGTCATTGCCATAGTATAATTTAATTTAAAACTACATAAATCAGTAAAATAGGAAGATTAAAAAAAGAGATTGTTTCTATGAAAACTAAATTGAATGTATTAAAAAGGCTTGACAAAGGTGAATTTCTGATTATATTGGCTCTCTAATTTGGATGAAACAATAATAAAACAGTGAGAAAAGGGTATAACTCTCTAGAAAATGTTCTCAAGGAGCTTGTTTCCCCATGACTTCAATTTCTCACTCCACTTGAAAGGAAGAGAAACAATAATTCAGAGGGTACATTAAAGATGTATGTTATGCAAGGAGAAAAATGTAGAACAGTATATATATAATCAAGCAAAGTTACCCTTTATAAAAAACTGGACAAACATAAGTACACTTACATGTTTTAATGTAATATGAAATGTTTAAGGTACATGTGTCTTCCTTTAATAATAATGTGTGTTAACCAGCAGTCTGAACCTGAACCAACCAGGCTCACGTCACATGAGAACATCTCCCCTGGGTGCTCATTCCCTCAGGCTACCCACCCTGCTTCTGTCTAGGCCTTTCCACACACTGCTGGAAGTCCTGAAAGCTCTCCCACCCTTTCAAAACTCAGCTCAGCCATCACTTCCTTCAGGGAGCTTTCCCAGACTTCCTAAGATTTCACAGGCTCCTCCTTGCCCTCTGGATGGATGTACATCTCATAAGTACTTGGGGTATTGCATTTGTCTGCTGATTTGTCTTCCCCATAAAACAATAAGCAATGCCTGCCTCTCAGTCCTCCTGGCAAACCTGTGCGCATTGTCTGGCACATGGTCAGAATTCAATAAATATGTTTTCATTAATAAGTTTATGCATAATTTGTCGATATTCCATTTTCTTTCTGTAAGAAATTTGCACACAAACCCATATCCCCCCCTTTTATTCTGGCTGCTGTCCTCCCTCCCCTTACATAAGAAAATGAACTTGTAGATGTCAGGGACATTTTCAGATGGTAGAAAGTGAAGTAAAGATAACTGTGAACTTTAGAGGTGAAATTGGAAAACAGAATCTCGAATATTTACCAACAATAGCCAAGAAAGGTAATTAACACAGGGTTTATGATAACATCCTTATAGCATTTTTAAGTTAATGAAATGGAATCGCAACTTACCTCAATGAAATGTATCTTTGGAGGAAAAAATATACATTGATGGGTTTTACTAGCTTGGGTAAAAGAAATATAGACATAAGGTTATTTTTCCTTGTCTTCCTGTTTTTGGAAATAAAGCCCAAATTATCCCCCATTAAAATGCCCACAGCTGCCAGATCCTTTTTTCTTTGATTTTTTCTTTCTTTTTTTTTATTCCTATAAATATCTTGAGAACATACACAATGGCTATAATAATCCTCATATTCTAATTCTATGAAATCAAGTTCATATAATGGCCCTTTATTGATTAAGGAAGAAGATTACACTTCTTCAAGAAGATAACTAACCATTGCCTTCAGAAAAAAAGGTGCAATTTCTTTGTAAATTACTGTGACGCCAGTAGCAAATTGCATTAATTAATCTACCCTCCACACACAGCATTTCACCATTCCTAGAGGGATCAAACAAGTTTTGGTGCACTTTGTGTAGAACTTGTTACCTGACGATACATTGCTATAATAGCTGAAAATTTCAGTAGTATTCTTGACAGTGTTGCAAAGTCAGTACGATGACACTGAGCCAACTGGATTTCAACTGGAAAGTAACAAGGAACTTCTGTCATTTGTGACTCAGTGTTTTTAGTAGGCAGAATCCTGCCGGCTCTCTTCCTCCCCTCCTCCAGCAGAATCTCCATTCAGAAAAGATGCCACTGCAGGAGGTTAGTGGCAATGTCCCAGAGATCTGCACTTACCTGCTTATTATGAACTCTGAGATTGCTGCTCTATCAAGCAGTTAGAACAGAGAACAGACAAACAACAATGATAACAATGACAAAAAAAGAATTCTTCAGTTTGTCAGCATTTAGGGAACTTCTTAAGAGCCCAAGAAAAATCCTCAGAAGCCGTGCATGTTTTCAATTCAGATTTACTAATATGAAGAGTTAATAAAGAGTCATAGCAGATGCAGCCAGCTTGGTGTTGACTGTCCTTAGGCTCCCAGACCCACTTTGCCTGTGGTAGGGGAAACCAGGAGTACCTGGAAACTTGGGGGGTAGCCCTTTATCCACAACTGAGTGGGTCAGTGGCATAAATAATCGGCTACTTTGTCCCTGATGGCTTGAGCCAAAGTTACTTTCCCTGGGGCCTTGTTGGTAGCATATTTTGATTGGTCTCCTGCCCTTTTCCTCCCAGCAAGGGTGACCAACCACCCTGGGTTGCCTGGGACTACACCCGCTTTAGCGCTGAAAATTCCACATTCTAGAAAACTCTTGGACAGTTGTTCATCTTGTGCTTTTCTGATCCTGTACCACCACATCTCCTGAGAACGCTCCCCAGTGAGTTGCCTTCACATGAACCCTCATCTTGGGATCTGCCTCTGGGAAACCCAAGTGAAGAAAACAATCCTTAAAAACATTGGCCACCTAATAAGAAAACCTCTTTAACCGTCTGCACATCCACCAGTACAACAGAGCACTTCAACAAGCAGAATCGACCCTCAGAACACTTACAAGGAGAGGAGGTTGATCTCTTAAGACACAAGCAGACCTTGTCCACTTTTCACCACGTCCACTGCCACCTCCCACGACCAAACCATTATCATCACCTCTTGCTGGGACAACTGCAGTAGCCTCCTTGGGTCTCTCTTCTTCTGCCGCTGTGCCTGCAGTTTATTCTCAGAGTAACCTAGTTAAAATATAATCCAGTTCATGGCACCCGTAGTCACAAACCCCTACAGTTACTCCTTAGCTCACTCGCAGTAAAAGTGAAAGTTCTGCTGGCATGGTGGCTTACACCTGTAATCCAAGTACCAGAGTACCAGAGGCTAAGACCAGGAGTTTGAGTCCATCCTGGGCAACATAGCTAAAAAGAATAAAAGGGGTTTTTCGTGAGTACTTTTAAAAATTATTTTTATTTTTATTTTTTGAAATGGGGTCTTGCTCTGTCACCCATGCTAGAGTACAGTAGCACAATCATAGCTCATTGCAACCTCAACCTCCTGGGCTCAAGCAGCCCTCTTGCTTCAGCCTCCTGAGTAGCTGGGACTACAGGCATGGACCACCACACTGGCTAATTATTTTCTGTTAGAGATGGGGGTCTCACTCTGTTGCCCAGGCTTGTCTTGAACTCCTGGTCTCAAGTGATCCTCCCCAGCTGGCCTTCCAAAGTGCTGGGATTACATGTATATGCTACCACCCAGCCAAAAGATTTTTCTGTAAAAAAAAAAAAAAAAAAGCTAAAGTCCTTACCATGAGCCTACGGCTCCCCAGTGGGCTGCTCTGACCTCTCCTTCTGTCTCACTGTGGCCGCCTGGATCTGTGCCAGATGTGCCAGCCCACCCGAGGGTCAGGAGCTTACTCTCCCCTCAGTCTGGAAGATGACTGACTTCTTTTGGGTCTTGACTCAAGTCACCACCTCAGCAAGCCCTCGTTTGGGGTCCCAGCTAAAAGGGACATGCCCTCTCCTCTGTGGGCAACCAAGCTCTGTCCTGCTGCCACCCCTCTTTTTGTACCACTCTTCGCTTTCTCTCCTTGCATCTGCCCTGCAGGGTGTAAGCGCCCTGAAGGCAGGTCTGTTTATTTTTTGGGTTTTTTTCCCCACATATTGTTTATTTAATAGCAATAAAATGAGGTTGCATTAGATTAGAAAAAACTTGGGTAAAAAGTATGATTCCTTTGCTTCAACTAAGACAGGTGCCCTTGTACATGGAGTTCCCAGACACACAGTCAGCTTCCTTCCTCCTGATTAACTGTGGCCAGTGAGAAAGAAAGGCGTGACAGGGAAATTGAAAGAGCCAGATGGATACCTCCATATGAGAGAACTTTTAGTGACATTTAAAAAACTCACACTTCCACTTTAACAATTAAGAAACACACCAATCCAGCCCAGAGGTTTTTTTACATAGTGAGGAAACACTGGGGAGGTGGTCAAGAGACTGCAATAATTATCCTCCTTCACACATAAAAGAAGAAATATGTCCTCAGATGCAATCAGTGTTCCATTCTTCCTTATCCAAGATTCCTCTCAGACTCCCAGAGACCAGTCCCATGAGTCAAACACATCCAGCTCCCAGTAGTGTTTCCCAGAGGAGAAGCCCTGGGCTCCCAGTGCAGCAATATAGTCAGATCTGTCAGAATTCAAAGATCCATCTTCCTGTCATGTCTAAGCCACAAACTTCTCACATCCTCAAACAGCCTCATACTGCGATTTGTTACTTCATTACTGAAGGAAATCCCTACCATGGAAAGAAGATAATGTTCCAATCTAATGCAGTTTATAAACTCTTTTTTTAATGTACTAGCCAAAATTTTATTAAATACTTATTATTTGCCATGAAAATACATTAATGGGTAAACCATCATACAAATCTTCTTTAAAATTTTTTATTTACTTATTTTTAATTTTACTTTAAGTTCTGCAATACATGTGCAGAATGTGCAGTCTGTCTGTCTGGTGCCTGCCACTCACCCCAGTCCTTGACAGTGCTGGGATCACAGCAGATGCTGTCATGACTGGTGGTTGTTCTTCATGTCTCTCCATCCTCCTACCTTTGCTGAGCCTCTTGAGACCAGGGTATGGTGTCAGAGGCCCTAGCTGAGTTCCCCACATGGTTGCTTGCCAGTGACCAATAGTGATTCACACAGCTGCTCCTGCCCCATGCCTGGGCAGCCCAGGGATGCAGCAGGCTTCCCTCCAGGCATCCCCTCTAAGATCAGGAGTGCAGTTGGCAAACAATAACCCAAATCAAAACAGAATATCCAATGGAAGAAAACGAAGCTCAAAGCCATGTGGGTGCATTTGGGCAAAGTCAGCTGGAGAAGCATTCCTCTTCCCAGCCCAGAGGCATGCGCCTTTGATGACACCTTACACTTCAGGTGTAAGACAGCCACAGCCCAGCATAGCACAGGGCTTCTCAAAGTGAGGTCCCCAGACCAACAGAGCCAATATTACCCGGAACTTGTTTAAAATGAAAGTTATCAGGTCCCACCATAATCCCTGGATCTACTGAATCAGAAACTCTGCGGGTGGGCCCAGCAATGGGTGTCTCAACAGTCAAAAGCCCCCCCGCCCAGGAGATTCTGACACACTGAGTCTAGAATCACTGGCCTCACAGGTAGTTCACATTGGGAATTATCTCTCTAGAAAACTCTTACTATGGTTGTTTCATTGCAATCCCCTAGATCAGTGTTTCTCAACCTTGGCACTATAGACGTTTGGGGCCGGATAATTATTTGTTATAGGGGAGTGCCCTGTGCCTTGTGGGATGTATAACAGCATCCCTGGACCCTCCGTGCTAGATGCCAGTAGCACCCCCTCACCTCTACCAGTTGTAACCAGCAGGATGATCACCAGCCTTTGCCAAATGCCTCTTGGAGGACATAATCACCCCTCGTTGAAAATCACTCCCTTAGACAATACTTGGAAGGCAAGAACATCCTCAAATTGTGATGCCACTGAGCCTGCCAACATCAACAATTGGAGGCAGCCTCCCATTTTCAACAGCTTGATCCCAGAGCATCTGTTACAGGTTGGGCTCCCTGGGAACAGACTTTAAGATTGGCATGCAGGAGGTTGAGCGGGCAGTTTGCACAGGAATGACTCCTGTACGGGTGAGGAAAGCAAGAACAGCCAGAAGGAAAGATTGGGCTGTGATACAGCTGAAATGGAGGCTCCACAGGGAGCTCTGGAGCAGGATGGCCCTGCAGTGTTGTCCCAACAGAGGCACAGGAAAAAGCCCTTTACAGCCACTCCAATTGATCCATCATACCATAGATCACATGCCATTTCCCTGAGCGTAATTATAGGTGAGCTGAATTCCTTCAGCTGTGTCAGTTCTCGGAGAGGGACTGAGCTGTGAGCTCTCAGCAGGAACACACCAGGTATCAGCATACATGTCCTGGGTGACATGCCACAGAATCCACAACAGCATCTTATCTCCATGGAGCTGAGACTTAATCTTATCAGAACACCTGTGACTCTAGTGCATGCTATTAAGTGCTTAAATCCCAACCACAGTTATCTAAACACTTGAACAAAGAACGTTTGTTTATTCAAATGACATGTTATTATTCTAAGGCACATTGTGAACAGATCCAGTAGTTCATACTGTATCACTCTGTATTTCACTGGAGTGATACTTGTTCTCATAAAAATATAATCTGTGGAGTTGTCCTCCCCAGATCTTCACCAAGGAGCCGGTGTGAATCAGGCCCAGGGACTGATTTTCTGGCTCTGATATGACTCTTCTCTGGAGGAGCTAATTATAGTTGACAAGAAGATTTCTGGGTGTGCAGAGTCTTGTCTTCTGTTTGGTGTCTGTTCAGAATGACAAACAAACGAGCAGTAATTAGCACTTGTCAGTTCAGACCAGCCCTGCTTACCCAGACACGGGACTGAGGTCTTCAGCCTGCAAACGTAGTACTGTCTGCCTCTGAGCCAATCGGAATGGGCCCCATGTTGTTCTAGAAGTCACAGACTCCTCTGTAGAAGCCCCTGGAATTTGTCTGGTCTGCTTGCCTAAGGCAGATATCTGGATATTTGTGTGTGGGTCAACATGCCCTCAAAGAGGAAGTCTCCCTCTCATTAATCACTGTAAGTAAAAATATACATAAATGAAAGCTAGCGTAACATGTAAAGGAGGAAATGCCTTTTGTCTTTTGTCTTTTCAGGAATTTGCCCCCAACACAAACCCTTATCTCATCACCTAGCACCATTTCTTGAAATGATGAGTTCATGTGGCTGTTTCTACCCTAGAGTATAAGCACATAGAGGACAGGAGCCACAGACTTATTTCTGTTCCAATTGTGTAAGTTTAGGAGCTGGTGGGGGTAGTAGTTAGGGGGATGACAGTCTGAGATAAGGGAAGACAAGAGAACTGTTGGAACCTCAGACACACCATTTGTAGAAGATTTTGTAGGAGCTTTGGCTCCTCCTCTGTTTGGACTCACACACAGCTTTGTGAATGTGATTCATTTTCCTCAGCACCACCACACCCACTGAACTTATCTAACTTTGCATAGACCTTTAGGGGCTTCATCAACTTCAGACTGCCTACCCACTCTGAAGTCCAGGAAAGAATTCCAAGCCCCCAGACAGAGGAGGTACCTGTAGCTCCTCTTACCTCTCCCTGGCAAGTGAACTACCTGACTTTCTCAGAAGCACACAAGAAGATAGCATGTTCATCCACTTTGTGTTACAGCTGCATAAAGTTAACACCAAGACACATTCTGTGGAGTGAGTAAGAGCATTGAAGTGTGACACACGATTTCCATCACTCAGCTCTCAGCCTGCATCTATTTTTGCCTCAGCAATATTTGGAAGAGTGATGGCCTGTAAATATATATAAGTGCATAATCATGGAGTTTCACAGAAACCATTTTCATAGAATATAGAATGTGTCATTATGAAAATCTTTAGAGGTATTTTCCTCCCAACAATATACATTTTAAGAAATAAAAAAGTGGGCAAAATGACTATTAACTCATATACCAACTGATGGTAATAAATACACTCTTCACAGTATATATGTATTCAATCACATTCCAAGCATTCATATAACAATACGTCAAGTCTAATCTCTTAGTAACTCAGATCTTAATTGATTTTTCATTGTTAGAGGAGAAAAGAAAATGCTGCCTTGGGCTCAGAATTTGATGTTTGGTTGTGGCTTACACATCTTTTGACAAAGTTTTTCAGGTTGAAGTAAAATTGTTTAGAGAATAAAGCATAGATCATTTTTACCAGCCTCCTCACCTAAGAAATTCTTCAACATTACTCCCCCATTCTCCGTTCATGAAATCTTCTCCAAGACTCCTTTTTTACCTGTTTAATTCTTACTGTGATGATATAAATACTGGCAATTTTGCCCTAGAAAAGTTGAGTTGTCTTTCAGGAAGGGCATAAATTCAACTGCCTCCAGGAAGCCATCCAGGAATGTGCAATCCATACACCACTCTCTCTCTCTTTAAAATTCCTATAGCACCTAAAGTTCATAACACTCCTTTAAATAGTAAATTGCATAAAACTTGGTTTCAAGTATGGGTAGCATCAGCGCAACCCATTTATGTACTTCCTGAAGGCTGAACTCCTGGCTGTAGAATGTCCAAATGTGTGACCCTGAGCAAGTCCCATCAACTCTGAACCTCAGTCTCTTCCCTGGGGAAGTTTCATTTCAGGGATATTTTGACGATTGAAAAAATTTCTCAGCATTGAGAAATTTGTCAGGAATGGACAGTAAAATCCACAATGCTATCAATTTATTTCATGAACAATAATTGTGAAATTCTTATCTGGAAGAGAATGCTTATAGTACTTACCAAAGTTGAATCGCCATCTTAACTAAAACTAATGTTGTAGTGTGTAGTAACTGTCCTGGTAAGCACAGGCTAGAGATATCAGACATTCTGGAAAGCTTCTACCCCAAATTCAAAACATATTAAAACAAACCACTTATGTCTGGGCACGGTGGCTCTCACGTGTAATCCCAGCAATTTGGGAGGCTGAGGTGGGTGGATCACTTGAGGCCAGGAGTTTGAGACCAGCCTGGTTAACATGGTGAAATCCCGTTTCTACTAAAAATACAAAAATTAGCTAGGCATGGTGGTGCATGCCTGTAGTCCCAGCTACTTGGGAGGCTGAGGCATGAGAATCGTTTGAACCAGGGAGGCAGAGGTTGCAGTGAGCTGAGATCGTGCCACTGCACTCCAGGCTGGGCAACAGAGCGAGACTCTCTGAAAAACAAAACAAACCAAAAAAAAAAATCAAAAACAACAACAACAACAAAAGCACTGCTTATAAGCCAGTTTATGGAAAAATAAAATAATTTTTGTCTTAAAATGTGGTCTCCAATATAAAGAGATGAGCCCAAATATTTCTGTATACAGATATCTGTTGTCAGATTACATATAAGATTAAATACTAGAAAACATCATACATTTCTAAGAAATAGGGTCTATACAATGTAATATTATTCACCCATTAGAAGAACATTTTAGAAAAATATTTAATGACATGGTAAATATTAAAAATATATAACATTATGTACAATAGAATTTTGGGTTTATTTTAATGTGTTAAAATCTGAAGAAAAAAGTAAGTAATTTTTTAAAAATACAGTGATTAGCACCTGGTAATGGGAACTTATTCCTCATTTGCATCTTTCTGCATTTTAAAAATTTCCACAATGTACATATATTACTTTTATAATCAGAAAGGAAGTAGTAAAGATATTCTCAAATAAATGTGATACTCCCCTGTTGAAAATATAGTTTTTAAATAAAACTTCCAGTTCTAAAGCATAATTTTTGTTAATGGCAAGAAAAATGGTGAGAACATAAGGTTTTCTCCGATACATTTTTAAAAAACAGAATTTTTTTTAATAGATTTTGTTTTAGAGATATGTTCTCCAACAACAGAAACCAGGGATCTTCAGGGTAATTACTGAATTCCAGGTCTAAGGCAGGGAAAGTACAGAATGAGCCTGGAGCATCTTAAGATGCCAGAGACTAAGGACATGCACAAACAACGATGCAGATGTAGCAAAAGACACAGGCGGCAGCTCAAAGGGCTCCCAACATCCAAATTTGGGAAAAGTTAAACATGAAAATAATTACAGAAGTGAATTATAATCCATAGAATGAAACAGATGTCCATGAGTCTATACTGATATGAAGAAAGATGATAGCAGATAGATAGATAGATACATACAGATACTTAAGTGGATACAAAGATATGTAGGTAGATAGACATATATAAATAGATGAACAGATAGAGAGTAATAGATTTATTGATTGCTTGATTGGGAGGTAAATAGAGATGAATGAGAGGGAGGAAAATCTTCTTACTGTAGAATTCCAATTAATAACAGTAGTTTTAATTATTGTACTGTGGGTACATAAAATGTTACCATGTGATGAGGTTTGTTCTAGTTTGGCAACTTTTTGTAAATTTAAAATTATTTCAAGATCAAAAGTTTAAAGTTAAAGTAATCTAAAGAAAATGGTATAATTAGTTTATATTATGAAATTGGTATATTTATAGATAATAGAAAAGGAGAAAAAAAATCACAACACATAGATCTATGATACAGAGATGCATTTCTACTGTCTGTGTTTTCTCCTGGCTACTTTTAAACTAATACTTAAAAGGCAAGAATCTATAAAGATCTAAAGAGAAACTTGTGATGCATCCTGGGTTTATTCAGTTCTATGACCCCGAGCTCTTAAATAGGATGCTAGACAGCCATACTTCTGGTGCTCTGAGTCATAGAATTAAAGCCACATGTGAAAACATGGGAGGAATCAGGCCAGAATCAGGAATGCCAAAGAGGGCCTCTTCCGAACCACTCAGAGGAGGTTTCCTGCCTGGAAACCACCATCAGCCCGTCCCATCTGGAGAGCATTAGCAGGAATTTCCACTGGTAGCATCAAAATCCCCTACAGGCATAATGGAGTCTTCTGACAGTCTGGAGATAGTACTAACATTTCCAGTGGCAGAGAAAGAGTGCAAATTATGTTTAAATTATCTAAAATTGCTTCTCTTAATATGGAAACTTGATCAAACACCATCACATCAAAAATAATTACCAGGCGTCTACCTGGTCAGTGTCATTACATAATTTGTAAGCAAACAAACAAGAGGCATTGAAACAGACTTTGCCTCTATTCGCATCCACTAGAACCGTATTTGTTCATAGGATATTGTGTGCCCCCATCCCACGCTGCCGAAATGGCAGCTTATGGCTGGACAATGGGTAAAAGCAAGCTTATGGCTGGACAATGGGTAAAAGCAAGCTTATAGTTCTGTGGGAGCCAGCGCAGCGATCCTGTTCTCTCCAGCAGGAACTAGGTTGTTGCTATAGCAACAACCAAATGATAGACAGATTTTTGAATGTGCTGTGGTCTACTGTGATAAGAGCTCCCAGGATATCCAGTCAGTATTTTCAACGTGTGCTAAAACATACACACTGTGTAATTATACTAAATGCTATGTTTCAAGATCAATTTTCAATGCCTTTCTTTTAAAAATTGAAATGATAGAAAATCTGAACTATTTTTAGTTCTAAATAACCGTTTGTGCTAATATCAGTTTTATTCACTACCATGTCAAGTCAAAACTTCCATTCTTTGTGCAGCACTTATATGCTTTAAGGAAGCTTGAGTCAAATTAATGAAAAAGTGTAATGTCTCCAAGATAATAGTAACTTCTTGCTGAGGTGAATTTCATGGCAGGTGTTGCATAGGTTCTAAGAAATCAACATAGTGAAAACACGGTAGAATGCTTTTGACCTTCTCTTGTTCTATATATTTGGCTTGTTCTCTTAAGAAAATAACTACAAAGCAATTTCATTGTGGTTGAACTAGAAATGAATAATGCCCATAGTACAGTAGCATTTCTACGCAATCAAGATTCAATTCTCCAAGTTTTATGCAAAATGACCCTGACTTCAATACATCTAAAATACTTTTAACACCCCACATTAGAAAAAAATGCAGTGAGATTCTTAGAACTGCTAAAATTTGGAGCAAGTAGCTTCCTCAGATCACTGCTTAGCAAAGACCCTCATCATCATTTATGCCATAGCTAAGGTCTAAAGGAAAAATCTTAAAATCCAGGCAAACCTTTTTGTGATTTGTAATCATAATTTAAGTTTCTTGGATGGAATGCAGATTGGCTTTACTAAGAACCACAGGTTAAAAATCATCTATCTTGAGGCGAAGATTTTCAGACTGATAACTGATTTTTTTTTCTTTCTTTTTATAGAGTTTGGGACTCACTCTGTTGCCCAGGCTGGAGTGCAATGGCACAATCATAGCTCAAGCAACCTTGAACTTCTGGGCTCAAGTGATCCTCCTGCCTCAGCCTCCTGAGTTGCTGGGATTCAGACTGATTTTCTTAAATAAAAGTTTTATTGCAGTATGTTATATTCAAATAGAAAGAAGTATCCATATCATAAGTATAATCAGCTTAATTCATTTTTGCCAATATAACATACTGTGTAACCAGCACCTAGCTTAAGAAACAGAACAGTATAAGATCAAAAGGAGGCCCTCGCTTTGCATATGGGGGATGACTAATGATCCCCCAATGATAACTATATCTTGACTCCATGGGTTAGTTCTGTCTGTGTCTAAACCTTATATAAGTGGAATCATACAGTATGTGCTGTGTTTGGCTCATTTAACTTAACATTATGTTTGTGAGATTCATCCAAGCTGTCACTTATAGTAATTATTTGTTCATTCTCATTGCTGTATAGTATTTGATCCATGGATTCATTGGAAGAAAGATCTGGGTCAACTCTAGGAAATGGTTACGATTTTCAAAATAACTTTTTCTTGATGCTAGATAGCAAAAGAAGTAACAGAAAGTTGGGAGGTGCAAATGTGCTTTTCTTCGAAATTTGAGTGATCATTATTCCATTTTACTGTTTGGTGGGAGTTAGAGCAAATTTCAGACATGATAGACTTTAAGAACTGAAAAGTAAAGAGAAATATCAGTATTTTTTAAAGTCATCCTAATTTTTTGTGTGTGATATGTTCAAATCCCACATATTTTTCCACTTCTTAAATGCATCCTGGTATTCAGTAGAAATGTTTCAGCAAGAGGCTAATTTATTTCTTCTTCTTTTTTCAGTCTAAAAGGCCTAAAATGATTATTGGCAAGGAAAAAAATAACACCCTGTCAGCATGGATATTTTTATATGACCAGTCAGAAGAGGCAAAATTTCCATACCTCTGGACCTGTTCTATATCTTCAGAGATGTCCCCGTTTTTATTATGATTGTTGGAATTGTCAAGGGACAATTTGCAACAGCTCCAAAATAAATATATTATTTTCAGAGCCTGTAACATCTTACGCAAAGCACAACTCTAAATTTAGATTGCTTTCTTAGAGATTGCTTCTACAAATTTCTACCATATCATCTAAGAGGAGATAACATGGTCAATGATTCATTCAAATGCCTAATATTCTGAATCTCATTTCCATAAAGAAAAATGTGGCCTCTGTGTCTAAAGGCAAATATAGACCAAGGCTTAAAAGTCAAAATTAATTCTACTTTTTACACTCTGCTGCATTAACTAACGAATCAAATACAGGCTCTCTTTTCTGAATATAAGAGCTTTAGAAACCAACAGAAAAGAAACTAGGAAAATATTTTATCTTACATTTACTCCAAAAGATTTAAAAATAAAATTCTATTTGCCTCTGGGGTCAAGACTAGCTATGAGACTTTTGGATCTTGGTTTTCTTATAAAGTGAAAGGATTTGACTATACAGTCTAAGTTTCCCTCCAAAACTAACATGCTTTCTTTCCATTTCAGGAATAATAAATCAAGTTGCGAAAGCCAGGTCAAAGCAGAGGCCAGGAACTTGGGTGATTACAGTTAGAGGGAGCAGAAGCCCTGGCAAGTCGGCAACAGGTTAAGAATAAATAATTCGACCTCTAGGCATTTGGGAGAGGATTTGGGATCTAGGAATGCCAATAGATATGCCGAAATGAGCCTAATCCTAGTGCCCTTTGAATTTCCTGCTGAGTAATGGTGTGTGCAAGACACAATAGCAACAAAGAACTGAGTCTGTCCCATGTGGAGGCAGAGTTTGGGGAACAGACATGACAGGAAGGTGTAGCTCCTCCGCCCTGTTGGAGAGGGGAGCAATCCAGGGCAGGATATGGGATTTGAATTTTTTTAATAAAATTTATAAATAATAGGAAAGTTGCAGAAAATTGCAAAGATAGTACAGAGATTTCCTACCGAGTGTCGCCATTACTAAAATTATTAGTTATTATGGAACATTTGTCACAATTAATGACCCAATATGGGTACATTATTATTAACTGAAGTGTATGTTTCATTCAAATTTCCTTAGTTTTTCCTCATGTCCTTTTTTCTGTTCCAGGATCCTACCCAGGATACCACATTACGATGAATCATCACATCTGCCTAGGCTCCTTTTGGCTACGACGGTTTCTCAGGCTTTTCTCATTTTTGATGATCTTGACAGCTTTGAGGGGTATTTGTAGAATGTCAGTTGGGGTTTGGCTAATGTTTTCTTAATGAATCAGAGTTGCATTTTGGGATCTGGGGAGAAGGACAATAGTGATAAAGTGTCCTTCTCATCACATCATATCAAGGATGCATACGGTGAACATGGTTTACCGCTGCTGATGTTAGCCTTGCTCTTAACCAAAGTAGTGTTTGTCAGGTTTCTCCACTACCAATTTACGCTTTTTTCCCCTCTTCATGCAGTAATATTGAGAAGGAAGCCACCCTGTGCAGCCCACAAGAAAGAGTGAGGAGTTATGCTCCACCTCTTTGAGAACAAAGTATCTGCATACATTATTAGGAATAGTTATATCATCATGGACTCATGGGTATTCATTTTACAATTTGAGTTAAAATCCAATAGTACTTTATTTTCTTGTTTGAATTGTTCCAGCTTTGACCATTGGCAGTTTTTTCAGTTAACACCCTCCCATGTCCCTGTGACATACCACTATCTTTGCAGAGTTGTTTCATCTGACAACTTTGGAAATTTCTCGGACCTGGGATTTGCATTTTGATAAGCGTGGCTGACCTAGGATAATTTGGTCTTATGCGCACTGTTTTGTTCCTTAGCTTTTTGTCCTGTTTAACTTTGAAATTATCCAGATAATCTTTACACTTAGACATTTTCAGATTTTACTTAAATATCAGGCAACAAAATGTAGGATTGCTCTCTAATTGCCTTATGCAAAAAAGATATTCTCCATGGCACATTATAGTCAAACTCTCAAAAGTGAATGGCAAAAAGAGAACTTTAAAAACAGCAAAAGAAAAATGTCTAGTCACTTATCAGGGAACCTCTATCAGAATAACAGAATAATAATTTCATGGAGGATGGTGAGTATTTCTCAGCAGAAACCTTATAGGCCAGGAGAGATTGAGATGGGATATTCTAAGTGCTGAAAGAAAAAGAAAACTATTAGCCAAATATACTATACTCAGTAAAGTTTTCTTTCATAAATGTATTTCCTAGACAAACAAAAGCTGAGGAAATTCATTACCACTAGACGGGACCTACAGTACATGCTTAAGGGAGACATGTACTGGAAACAAATGGACTCTATCATCACGAAAACACACAAAAGTAAAAAAACAAAACAAAACAAAACCTGTTAGAGGCTGGGCACGGCGGCTCACACCTGTAATCCCAGCACTTTGGGAGGCCGAGGCGGGCGGATCACAAGGTCAGTATGGCAATTTCTAAAGGATCTAGAACTAGAAATTCCATTAGACCCAGCAATCTCATTACTGGGTATATACCCAACGGAATACAAATTATTCTACTATAAAGACACATGCACATCTATGTTTATTGCAGCACTATTTACAATAGCAAAGACATGGAACCAACCCAGGTGGATCACAAGGTCAGGAGATCGAGACCATCCTGGCTAACACGGTTAATACAAAAAGTTAGCCAGGCATGGTCGTGGGTGCCTGTAGTCCCAGCTACTTGGGAGGCTGAGGCAGGAGAATGGTGTGAACCCAGGAGGCAGGACTTGCAGTGAGCCGAGATCATGCCACTGCACTCCAGCCTGGGTAGATGAGTTTCTTGTAAACTATAGTTGAGTCATGTCTTTTTTATTCACCAGCCAATCTATATCTTTTAGGTGAAAAATACAAAGGATCAACAAAACAAAAAGTTAGTTTTCTGAAAAATAACCAAAATCAACAAACTGAAAGCCACACTAACCAAGAAAAAAAGAGAGAAGACTCAAATAAATAAAATCAGAAACAAAAAAGTGACAGTAGAATTGATACCACAGAAATAGAAGAGTTCATCAGAGACTGTTATGAACAACTATACACTAACAAACTGGAAAGTCTAGAGAAAATAGATAAATTCCTGGACACACACAACCTACCCATTGAATCAAGAAGAAACAGAAAACCTAAACAGACTAATAATGAGTAAGAAAATTAAATCAGTAATTTAAAAAAAGTATCCCCAAAAAGAAAAGTCCAGGACTGTATAGCATTAATGCCAAATTCTACCAAATATAAACAGAAGAACTAAAACCAATTTTCTTTAAACTATTCCAAAAAAACTGATGGAACTCTTAGAACTGCTTTTGCTGTATCTCATTGGTTGTGGTGTATTTTGATTTTTATTTGTTTGAATAATTTTTTGGTTTTCCTGCTTAATTTATACCTTGATTTCTCAATGTGAGAATTTGCTGAATTCTCCCTTACTCATTCTGTGATACCACAATTACCCTGATACTAAAACCAGACAAAGATGCAATATATATGTAACTAAAACATCATGCTATTGGTATTTAAAAAAAACACATAGACCAATGGAACAGAATAGAGAAACTAGAAATAAGTCTACATATTTATAGCCCACTGAGTTTGGACAAAGGTATCAAGAACATATGTTGGGGAAAGGATACCCTCTTCCATAAATGATGCTGGGAAAATTGGATAGCCATGGGCAGAAGAATGAAATTGGACTGCTATTTCTCACATTGTACACAAATCAACTTATAATGGATTAAAGACTTTAAATGCAAGACCTGAAACTATAGAACCACTAGAAGAAAACTTAGGGGGAATACTTCAGGACATTGGTCTAGGCAAAGATTTTAGCACTATGACCTTAAAAGTACAGTCAACAAAAACAAAAATAGAAAAATGAGACTATAGTAAACTAAAAAGCTTCTTCATAGCAAATGAAAGAATCAACAGAGTGAAGAAATGATCTGCCAAATGGGAGAAAATTCACAAACTATTCATCCAACAAGGAACCAATATTGAGAATATACAAGGAACTTGATGTGGTTGGGCTGTGTCCCCACCCAAATCTCATCTTGAATTGTAGCTCTCATAATCCCCACATGTCATGGGAGGGACCTGGTGGGATGTAACTGAATCATGGGGGCAGTTTTTCTCATGCTGTTCTCATGACTGTGAATAAGTCTCAGGAGGCATGATGGTTTTATAAAGTGCAGTTCCCCTGCACAAGCTCTCTTGCTTGCTGCCATATAAGACATGCTTTTGCTCCTCCTTCACCTTCCACCAAGATTGTGAGGCCTCCCCAGTCATGTGAAACCGTGAGTCCATTAAATCTCTTTTGCTTTATAAATTACCCAGTCATGGGTGTTTCTTCATAGCAGTAAGAAAATGGACTAATACAGAACTCAAAAAGCTCAACAGGAAAAAAGTAATAATATGTAATAAAAATGTAATCAGATTAATTACATGCAACTGGTTACAAAGCGGGTAAAGGACATGAATAGACATTCCTCAAAAGACATACAAATTGCCAATAGGTATCTAAAAAATGCTCAACATTACTAATCATCAGGGAAATGCAAATCAAAACCACAAGGAGATGTCCTCCTACCGCAGTTAGAATGGCTATTATTAAAATGACAAGAAACAGCAAATGCTGGTGATGTAAAGAAAAGAGAATTCTTACTGGTGGAAATGTAAATTAGTACAGCCACTATGGAAAACAGTATGGAGGTTTTTCAAAAAAACTAAAAATATAATTACCATATGATTCAGTAATCTTGCTACTGGGTATTTATCCAAAGGAAAGGAGATCAGTATATAAGAGACACCTGTACTCACATCTTTATTGAAGCACTATTCACAATAGCAAATATATGGAATTAACCTAACTGTCCATCAACAGATGAATGGATAATAAAAAGTGGTATATATGTACAATGGAATACTATTCAGTCATTAAAAAGTATGAAATCATGTCATTTGCAGCAACATGGATGGAACTGGAAGTCATTATGTTAAATGAAACAAGCCAGGGTGTTTCTATTCTGAGTTCTGTCAGGCTGTGTTTAATAGTGTCTTGCTTTCTTACATCTCTTCCCCAAGTTCCACTTCTTCTTCATTGTATACTTTTTAAATGGCATTTCTTCGAAATTAATGAAAATTTTATTTTTTGTAATTTTGGTCTCCCCCATAACAACAATTTTCTGGGGAATTCTCTTCTTCTTTGGGTGTTCTTTGCTGTTCTTTTCTTCCCCTTTTGGTCGCATCTTTGTATAGATGTTGTATATAAAAGGTTCTAGTCCCTTTTCTAAAATACCATTCATATGACTGGGTGTTTTTGAGCCAGCTATCTGCAAGAGATTTTTGTAGGAGGAGTGAAGCCTGTGTAAGATTCCAAATTTGTTGCTTTCCACAAAGCACACATTCATTCTCTGCTCCTCAGCCTCCTCATGCAACTGCTTCCTGCAAAATTTTATTTCTATGCAGTTCTACATTTAGGCCACCTCTTTTGCTTTGCTTTACTGTGTTACATCATTTTCGTACTGTCTTTTTTTTTCCCAATTTTTCCCTCAAGGTGAGCAAACACTTTCTCAGACTTTACTTTTGTTAGAACTTTTCCAAGTCTGCTGCCACTGAGTTCTGTTGTTGGGAGCCTTTGCTAATAGTTGTTGTATCTATATTATATTTTCTTATGCCCTTGACCTCTGAAGATTACAGCTGCCTATTGCCAAGAGCTAGTAGCTATTTTCCTAAGGCACCAACTGAAATGGATTTAATGTATTCATCTAAAACAGTGCCAAATTTGTTTTTATAGATGTAACTGTTCCCAATATTCTCAGGCTAGTTACTCAAAGAGCAGAGCCTGAGGCATAAGCCTATGTGGTATTGCTTTATTAAGCAATGGGATCTCATGCACCAGGAGTTTGAGAAAGAAAGCAAGGAATGGGAAGAGACAATGCAAAAGTGCATTCCTGGCTGGCTACCACTTCACATCAAGCAAGCCTGACTGTTCATATTTTGTTACTGTCTTTTGAGAGCCCCTTTCTGAAGCTTTTATTATAGTTGGTACATAGAAGAAACAAAAATATCCACTGACTTCCATTGCTAAAAGGCTTGCTCCAAAAGGGGGTTAATTTTCTCACCTTACAAGTTGCACATGCATGGGCACTGCTATGGTGTGAATATTTGTGTTCCGTCCAAAATTCATGTTGACACTTAACTGCCAATGAAACAATATTAAAAGGTGTGGTCTCTGAGAAGTAATTAGGCCATAAGGGCCCCACCCACAAGGATGGACTTCTGCTTTTATTAAGAAGCTGGAGGGAACTATTTAGGCTGTTTTGTCCTTTCACCTTTCACCATTTGAGGACTCAGCATTCAAGGCACCATCTTGGAAGCAGAGACCAGACCCTCATCAGACACAAAACCTGCCATTGTCTTCATTTTGGACTTCCAGCCTCTAGACCTATAAGAAATAAATTTCTGTTCTTTATAGATTACCCAGTCTCAGGTATTTTGTGATAGCAGCACTGACGGACCAAGACAGCACAAAGCTCAGACTGCTATTCTTACTAAACTTCAGAGTCAACAGAGAAGCACCAATAACAGTACAGGTGGGCAAACAGAAATCTCTATTATATGGTGGCTGCAGGACGTTAGTTGCTGAGATTCGGATGGCCACAGGTTCTGCTTTACAGACAGAGTCCCAGTTTAGGTCTGTGGTGGCACTGTAGTATTAAAAGCACTTAGGTTTTCTCTAAAACCTCTTTTTAATTTTTTTTTCCTTTTTGAACTTGCTTTTTTTATTATTATTATTATTATGCTTTAAGTTTTAGGGTACATGTGCACAACGTGCAGGTTTGTTACATATGTATACATGTGCCATGTTGGTGTACTGCACCCATTAATGCATCTAGGTATATTGCCTAATGCTATCCCTCCCCCCTCCCCCCAACCCACAACAGGCCCCGGTGTGTGACATTCCCCTGCCTGTGTCCATGTGTTCTCATTGTTCAATTCCCACCTATGAGTGAGAACATGTAGTGTTTGGTTTTTTGTCCTAGCGATAGTTTGCTGAGAATGATGATTTCCAGCTTCATCCATGTCCCTACAAAGGACATGAACTCATCCTTTTTTATGGCTGCATAGTATTCCATGGTGTATATGTGCCACATTTTCTTAATCTAGTCTATTGTTGGACATTTGGGTTGGTTCCAAGACTTTGCTATTGTGAATAGTGATGCAATAAACATACGTGTACATGTCTCTTTATAGCAGCATGATTTATAATCCTTTGGGTATATACCAGTAATGAGATGGCTAGGTCAAATGGTATTTCTAGTTCTAGATCCCTGAGGAATCGCCACACTGACTTCCACAATGGTTGAACTAGTTTACAGTCCCACCAACAGTGTAAAAGTGTTCCTATTTCTCCACATCCCCTCCAGCACCTGTTGTTTTCTGACTTTTTAATGATCGCTATTCTAACTGGTGTGAGATGGTATCTCATTGTGGTTTTGATTTGCATTTCTCTGATGGCCAGTGATGATGAGCATTTTTTCATGTGTTGTTTGGCTGCATAAATGTCTTCTTTTGAGAAGTGTCTGTTCATATCCTTTGCCCACTTGTTGATGGGGTTGTTTGTTTTTTTCTTGTAAATTTGTTTGAGTTCATTGTAGATTCTGGATATTAGCCCTTTGTCAGATGAGTAGATTGCAAAAATTTTCTCCCATTCTGTAGGTTGCCTGTTCACTCTGATGGTAGTTTCTTTTGCTGTGCAGAAGCTCTTTAGTTTAATTAGATCCCATTTGTCAATTTTGGCTTTTGTTGCCATTGCTTTTGGTGTTTTAGTCATGAAGTCCTTGCCCATGCCTATGTCCTGAATGGTATTGCCTAGGTTTTATTCTAGGGTTTTTTATGGTTTTAGGTCTAAATTTAAGTCTTTAATCCATCTTGAATTAATTTTTGTATAAGGTATAAGGAAACGATCCAGTTTCAGCTTCCTACATATGGTTAGCCAGTTTTCCCAGCACCATTTATTAAATAGGGAATCCTTTCCCCATTTCTTGTTTTTCTCAGGTTTGTCAAAGATCAGATAGTTGTAGATATGTGGCATTATTTCTGAGGGTTCTGTTCTGTTCCATTGGTCTATATCTCTGTTTTGGTACCAGAACCATGCTGTTTTGGTTACTGTAGCCTTGTAGTATAGTTTGAAGTCAGGTAGTGTGATGCCTCCAGCTTTGTTCTTTTGGCTTAGGATTGACTTGGCAATGCGGGCTCTTTTTTGGTTCCATATGAACTTTAAAGTAGTTTTTTCCAATCCTGTGAAGAAAGTCATTGGTAGCTTGATGGAGATGGCATTGAATCTAGAAATTACCTTGGTCAGTATGGCCATTTTTACTATATTGATTCTTCCTACCCATGAGCATGGAATGTTCTTCCATTTGTTTGTGTCCTCTTTTATTTCATTGAGCAGTGGTTTATAGTTCTCCTTGAAGAGGTCCTTCACATCCCTTGTAAGTTGGATTCCTAGATATTTTATTCTCTTTGAAGCAATTGTGAATGGGAGTTCGCTCATAATTTGGCTCTCTGTTTGTCTGTTATTTGTGTATAAGAATGCTTGTGATTTTTGTACATTGATTTTGTATCCTGAGACTTTGCTGAAATTGCTTATCAGCTTAAGGAGATTTTCGGCTGAGACGATGGGGTTTTCTAGATATACAATCATGTCATCTGCAAACAGGGACAATTTGACTTCCTCTTTTCCTAATTGAATACCCTTTATTTCATTCTCCTGTCTGAGTTCCCTGGCCAGAACTTCCAACACTATGTTGAATAGGAGTGGTGAGAGAGGGCATCCCTGTCTTGTGCCAGTTTTCAAAGGGAATGCTTCCAGTTTTTGCCCATTCAGTATGATATTGGCTGTGGGTTTGTCATAGATAGCTCTTATTATTTTGAGATATGTCCCATCAATACCTAATTTATTGAGAGTTTTTAGCATGAAGCATTGTTGAATTTTGTCAAAGGCCTTTTCTGCATCTATTGAGATAATCATAAGGTTTTTGTCATTGGTTCTGTTTATATGCTGGATTACATTTATTGGTTTGTGTATATTGAACCAGCCTTGCATCCCAGGGATGAAGCCCACTTGATCATGGTGGATAAGCTTTTTGATGTGCTGCTGGATTCAGTTTGCCAGTATTTTATTGAGGATTTTTGCATCGATGTTCATCAGGGGTATTGGTCTAAAATTCTCTTTTTTTTAATGTGTCTCTGCCAGGCTTTGGTATCAGGATGATGCTGGCCTCATAAAATGAGTTAGGGAGGCTATCTAGGAAGAATCAGTAGTGGACGAGCCAGGAACAAGTGTCCAAACACCTGAGTCTGAAAAGAGCAGAAGTGGCATCAAAGAGGTGCCTAAGGTGCAGTCTGCAACACTTTTCTGGTTATCTTCTACCTTCAAGTACACTCTCTAATCAGTTACACGCTCTGAGAGGATGAGAATGACTTTTCCTTTGTTGGAAATGTTAATATTGACGTCCTAGGGATCTCACTTTCTTGGCCATTTGCCTGTGAATATTTCTAGATATTCATATAAAAAAATGATAAAATGCATGAGGGAGGGATAGGGTGATGGCCTGCTCTTCCAAAGGGGTTGATGAAGTGTTTATGCAGATGAGTACTCAATGTGACCTTAGACTATAGCCTCAATGTAGTGTGACCTTAGACTATAGCCTTAGACCTTAGACTATAGCCTTAGACTATAACTTCAATCATAAATGACTACAATTTCAAACTAAAAATGATCAACTTTTAATATGATTTCAATGCTGACATTCGTTGATGGAGTTTAATTAATGGCCCATAATATACTCCTGAAAAGTATCTCTACTCAAAATGACTTCAAGAAAATGCATGTAATATGAAAAACTGTTACAGAGTTCTAAATTCTGCCAAATCTAGAAAGATCATAATCAAGCAAATTATATCTTCCTAAATAATCTCTAAATATTTTCAAACAGCCCAGACATAGTATCCAGAGTACTGTTCCGCTTATTGTAATTTTGGCTTCAAGGGTAAAAGTTAATTGGATATATTGAACACCCCAGCAAAACTCCAGAAGTAAAAGTCACCCATTTTAATTAGGAACTGTTCAGAGCATATCATGGTCAGCAATCATCCGAAATGCAGACCATGAGTCATTCTAATATGCAAACCACAAAGCAAGGGGCAAGATTTTTCAAAACGTGTTCTCTCCCACAGACTGGAATTTGCATTTAAAAGCACAAAAACAAATGTCTGAAAGATTTGGTCACAATATCAGCAAAAAGAAGCAAATCAAGAGAAGCGGCAGCTATTAACTGCCAAAAAGCCCTTTTGATATATGACTTGCTAAGGCACACAGAAGGGAGTTCGGATGGGGGCCACAGAGCCTTCCAATCAACCAACCAACAGACCAAACAATTGTATGTGAGTTTAGAATAAAATGATTGCAGATAAAATGCTGGAAAATTAAAGCTATGAGAAAAGCATGTACTTCCATACTCTAATACAGAAACATATTGTTTCCTCGATTTGATGACACCATCAAATAGAAGCTGCATTATCAATTTAACAGCAGGCTTTTGGAGAAAAAAATGTGCATTTTTTTGTATCTTGTAGGCTGCTTTTTTTAATTAACTAACCACCAACAGCATACACTTCACATAGTAATTTATCATTCTTTCCTTTTGCTAAAATTTTTTTACTTACATAGACACAGAATTATTCTAAAAGACTTTTAACATTATGGTGGCACACTGCCTTTCAAAATTCATGCTTGTTTGGTTTTTGATATATTTAGCAGCTTTAGGATTACAAGCATAACTTTGAAACATTTCAAAAATATTAAATTTCCTATGATTAAACGTATAGCTTAATTTTTGTGTTATTTGAACCATATTTTGCTGAAAGTCATCCAGTTCTTCTTGAAAGTCAGACAGACATTTCAATAGGTAGGTAGTCACTGTCTGAGAGATAGAAATATGAATTAATTATAGCAACTATTTCAAGCTTTCACTATGAGAGTTTTGGCAATTTCTACTTCCTTTGACTATACGGCATGGATGTGAAAGGCATTTTTTGGTATACAAAATGACTGTATTTTTAAATCTATAGTTGTTAAGCTAAATTTCTTAAATATTTTAAGCAATGAATTACAGATCCAAAACTAAGTTAAATTGCAAATGCTACTACTACTACCACCACCACCACCACCACCACCACTACTACTAATACTAATACTATTATAAATAACTCAATAGACATACCTGTATTTAGAGGATGCAAAATACTTTCACAACAAGGCCAAATCCATGGACATTAATCAGTGCTAGTCAATAATCATTTACAGATAATTTTCTCTTCTGGCTATAATGGAGTGGCTTGCAGCAGAATGACATTATTCCTACTGTAAATACTTACAAATTTATTTTAAATCCTTTTAAAGAAATTGGAGGGTGTCTGGGGTACTCCAAAGATTTGAGTGTCCAGATTTTGAAGGAGAAAGGAAGTTCTTAAGGTGCACCTGTTTATCTGCATATTGCTTTTCTTCTCAAAATATTTTTTGATTCATGGACCATAGGAAGAGTCTGAGAAGCTGGTCAGTGAGTGACCACTAAGCGGCAGAGAAGCCAGTAATAGCTGTAGGCAACACCATAAGCCTGAAAAGACAAAAAACAGAATTTGGGCCCACCAAGGTAGCCAAGATAGGTTTTCACAGAATCAACATTCAACCTCTTTAATTTTCTTCATCACTTGTTTGCTTACTTTTGCACTGATTTCTGCTCTTCTCAGCTTTCTCTTATAGACAGCAAAGATTTGGCTCTGCCTTTTGTATTCAGTCTGAAAACCTCTGCCTTTTAATTGGAGTGTTTATATAATTTACATAAAAAGTAATTATTGAGAAGGTTGAATCTAAATAAGCCATTTTGTTATGGCTTTTCTATTATTCCCATCTGTTTTTTGTTACTCTTGGCCTCTTTTCCTGCCTTCTTCCAACACTTTTTCTTTCTCATTCAAAGAAAAAGAATTTTAACTCAATATGTAATCAGGGAGCCATTTAAAAAAATTAATACTCTAAAGGCATAAGTAGAACAACCTTAGATGTCATCATGCACTTTCCCAGGGTCTTTTTTTTCCTGAAGAAAAGAGGTATATCAACAGAAAGGGAACACCAAGTTGCCACGGATTTCTATGCTTAAGCATTCTGCCCTGTTTGTGGATCTTCATTCATAGCCAAAGTAAAAACTACCCTTTACGGTAGTCAATAGTGATGTTTAGAAAAATTCAGAGGTCAGGTATGGTAGCTCACACCTGTAATCCCAGCACTTTCAGAGACCAAAGCAGGCAGATCACTTGCGCTCTGGAGGTTGGGACCATCCTGGGCAACATGGCAAAACCCCATCTCTACAAAATAAAAAATTTAAAAATAAAAAACTAAATTAAATTAAAGAAAATTTCAGCTTCTTCTTCTCTTTCTAAGCACATGGTAGGATCTACTTTCCCTTCCCTTTGAAATTACGCATGGACATGTAACTTGCTTTCATGGTGAAACATGAGTTGAAATAGTAAGTATCACTTTTGGGCAGAAACTCTAAGAGCAAACAAACAAACTGCAACATCTTCTCCAGCACCTAGATCATAAAAGCCATGTAAAGTCAGAGTCTCTGCAGCCTGAATACCTAAGTAGCTGCAACAAACCTCCTGCTGGCCGTGAGAGAAATACAGTGTAACTAAAAAAAACAGACAAAAGAAACTGTGTGGCAAGTTGCTGATTTGGGGCTGCTTATTACTGCAGCACAACTTAACTCATCCTTTCTGATATACCCTTTAGAATCTTTTGGCCAGTGTCTCACCGTCAGCAGTGGGTCAACTGCAGGCTGCTAAGGGTCAAGTGCCAGCGGCTAAGGGCACATAAGGAGCTGCTACCAGTTCAGCGTTGGCTCTGGCGTCAGGGTCGTTGTGTCCCGACAACCTCTCTGGTAGCCGTTTCTGAGACAGCAGGTGCAGGTGCGGCCGCTTTAGCCCTGAGCAGGCTCTGCCGCTGCTTGCAGGTCTCTGCTAGCGCCCGACCCTTCTCTTCACGGACCTTGAGCCCACAGCCCAAGTGCTGGGCAATGGCAGCCTCGCACCAGCCCATCAAGGGGATCCTGAAGAACAAGACCTCCAGGACTTCCTCTATGGTGGCGTTGTCGGAACAGCCCTGCAGAACTGTCCACGAGGAGCTGAGTAAAAAATGCCAGAAGTGTGATGAAATGAACATCCTGTCAACATATCATCCAGCAGACAAAGACTATGGTTTAATGAAAATAGATGAGCCAAGCCCTCCTTACCATGGTATAACGGGTGATGATGAAAATGCATGTAGTGATACAGAAACCACTGAAACCATGGTATCAGATATCTTAGCTAAGAAATTAGCTGCTGCTGAAGGCTTAGAGCCAAAATATTGGGTTCAGGAACAAGAAAGCAGTGGAGAGGAGGACCTCTTAGCTGAAGAATGAGAAAAAAACAGACAATTTGAAATGAAAAGGAAGCTTCACTACAGTGAAGGACTCAATATCGAACTAGCTAGACAATTAGTTTCAAAAGACCTACATGATGATGACAAAGGTGAAGAAATGTTATAGACTACAGATGGAGAAAGCACGAATACTAAAGAATCAAATTAAGGATCTACTGCAAGTGACCAATGGCTAAACAAATCACGAAGTTCATAGATTTGTTCAACACTGCAACTGTTGGATATAAACCCTGTTACTATAATACATTGCTTCTGGTTTTCCACAATTCATGACTTAAGTACCAAAATGCATACCAGTTATTATAAATTTCCAAGAATTAAATGATAACCTTAGAGACTGATTAGACTGAAAATGCCTAATTGATATATATATTCTTGTGTCTAGTACTTTACCACAAATACAGTGTAATATCATCATTCCAAAACTGCGTTACTTATGTAAAACACTTGTTAATATGTATAAGATAGTATATAGCTTTTTATGCTTTAGAAGTTAAACAGTATCTTTAAGGGGGAGAGGAAGTAATTTATTTTCATCACTCTAAATGTGGTGGTATCTCTTATAAACTGTGTTGGGTTTTTTTTAATCAAAAGCCAATTGAACAACAGGATATATAGACTGATAAATATTAAGGCTGAATAATATTTTAACAGTTGTCTACAACTTGATTTGTCTGTTTAATTGAAAAGGATTATAAGAGTTACTGTTGCATTTTCTGGCCTACTACCTTTAAAATTCCTGTTGAGTTTCTTTGTATTTACAAGGAAAGGACTGAAGTTTATCTCATCAAAACTAGCTTTTTCCCCACAAATAAATTATCAGATTAAACTTGCACTAATGTCGGCTCTGTTTTTTATTTTGCTTTGTTTTGCTTTTTGTTTTTTATGTTTTTGGTACACTGGGCAGACTTCAGAGCAGTTTTTTTGAAATAAATATTCTAATGGAGCTATCTCGGCATTCCCTTTAAATATCTGTCTTAACCTTCTTCTTTTATTTTCTACTCCTTTCCACACATACGCACACAGTCCTTTACCTTTTAAAGGATCATTAAGATTGTCACAACATTAGGAACTCTTTCTCTCACTCTTCTGTCATTTGCTGCGATATTGAAATTCTTATTTTGACCATCAATGCCTATTAATTCTTCTAATACATGAAGAAAATAAATTGAGTAGCAGCAGTACTATAGACAGGAAATAATTTAACTGCTGAATTTCTATACCTCCCTGATTTACAGCTTGCTAATTAAATTGCTATTATTAGTTTGTTTGGCTTACTTAGACTTAAGAAAACAACGAACTGAGGTTTTTTTGGTTGTTGTTTTTTTGGAGGGGTTTTTTTTGCATGAGGAGAGAATTGTGTGTAACCAGTGATACGATTATTCATGAATGTACAGACAGAAGTAAGCCTGGACATTGTTTAATTTAAAAATTTTAAATAGTCCCCGCTTTAAGGGAATACAATAATGTATACTATGACAAACGTACTTTATTCTTCTAACACAGTAAGAATTACTTGGAAATTTTTTTCCTGAAATGAAGTGCAGGAAAGCCCTGTGTGTCTTGGTTTAGTGATGGTTTCCTCTCTAGCCAATTCTTTGTATCTTAATTTTTGTTAGTACCAAAATAATCTGTTACATAAACAGACTTTTAAAATAATTTCTGTATACTCTATATATAAGAAGGCTTTTATTGAACAGCTTATCTTCCACTTGCAAGTTTACAGAAATATCAGTATGTCAAAATAAATAAAAAGCGGGAGAATTCATTGCTGTTAGAAGAATATGCTTATTATTTTGATTTTTTAAATGGGATATAATCAAAGTACTGCTGAACTATATGTGCAGTATTCTACTAAACATTTCATCTAGTAATACCACTGATTTAGAAACAAAACTGTTTATCTCTGCTTTCTGAATTTAGAATGTTGGGATTACCTGTTAAAATCTGTTTTGGCAGATATGGAGATTAAGTCTGTACATATGTGGGCACATGTATTCATGCACCCAGACTTCCGATATTGGTTTTCCCATTTTTGAGTTCTTAGAAAGCATCCACATACTCCTTGTTTTTGGTAGAAGTAGCTTGTTGTGCAATGAAGAAAAGATAAGACTTTAAACAGTTGATTCTTTTTGTGTTTTCCTCAAACTATTTTTTGAAATTTAAATCACAAGCAAACTGATTTTCTGGTTTTTAGAAAGTAGATGACTTTCATCTCATTTCATTTCAGAGGAATAAGACATGCCAAACAGCATGCTCAGTAGGATTTTAGATAGTCAAATGCATCTGAGGAAAGGTATTTTCAAGTTATAAGTGGCTAATTGACATGGTATGAACTAGTCAAAATATGAACCGTTATGATTCAAGTTAGATTTTCCTCTGGAGAGATAGATCTGAATGTTCAGTTCTAGTCAAGGTAGATTTTACTTTCAACTTTTTAATCAATATCACTTTATGTGCTTAATTCTTTGGTGTTACTTTGTCTCTTTTCAGTTGTCTAAAATTCTGCAGTGATGACTAAAATTTGACATAATGGTATAAATTGATTGTTAAGAGTAACTTTAAGTTGAAGATTGAAGCAAGATGCCATTTTCCCCATGACTTTAATTTTGTTTACATATATCCCCTTAAGTTAGTATACACTACACATATTGTAATAAAATACAATAATATGAAAATAAATAAATTTAAAAAATATTTTAGGTGAGATAATGCAGATTTTACAGCTTTGTGTGCAGACAAACACACAAAGACACACATAATTTGAGTTTCTTCTAAAACATGGTTGTGTTATATTTTGCCAATATTCATGGTCTGATTTGTACTTTCATACTCAACTTTACTCAACATAGAATTTAATTTTTTAGCTTCAGAAATTATTGTGTTAATATGTAGAATCACATGCTTTGGGTTATCATTAGTGCTTTCTGTCTAGTCCTCTTATAATTACACCTTTCATTCTCAATATTCAATCTAAAAAAATCTATTCTTAGAAAAAAACTAATTCATCAAAAGGAAAGTTTTGGGAAAGGCTACTTAATATGTATATCCCATAGGTAGTCTATATATTGCCTTATTACTCAAAGACAAGAAAGTTATTAAAATCACATTTTGTCAATGAAAAAGGTTAAATATTGGGCTTAGTAAGGCATATTATTGGATTCCAACATATCTATATTTTTAACAATGATCTGTAAATTACAGAATAAAAACTTTTAGCCTGTACCAGCCACTGAGATCTGTTAATAGTAAAGTTCCAAATCAATGCAAATAACTTTTATAGAATCATAAAATTATAAACCTTATTTCTTAATTCAATATATACTAATTAACATAATTCTCAATCATTACTGTTTATGTAACTTATGTAAACATTCGAATTAAAAGGCAGAGGTTTTCAGACTGAATACAAAAGGCAGAGCCAAATCTTTGCTGTCTATAAGAGAAAGCTGAGAAGAGTAGAAATCAATGCAAAAGGAAACAAACAAATGATGAAGAAAATTACCGAAGTTGAATGTTGATTCTGTGAAAACCTATCTTGGCTACCTTGGTGGGCCCAAATTCTGTTTTTTTTCTTTTCAGGCTCATGGTATTGCCTGCAGCTTTCTTGCATTCTTACAGAGGAGTCAGATAATAAATGTATTTATATAGTATAACATATATAAGATGGTAAGACCCTAGAACATTGTAAGTCATCAAAAATCTGAGTTTTCCTCTGCTCCTTATGTGTCTCAGTTCCTCTGTGCTTCTGCTTCTTTAGTTTAATTATACTGTTTCCTCCCTTCTGACTTCTTCTATTTCTATCCAAACATTCACCCTACATCACGGCTTCTGATTAGCCATAATTTTTGTTTTCTTCTAAGTTCACCTTCCTTAGACTCATATTCTACCTCATGGTCTTTCTTGAAGCATCCTATTAGTTTCAGAGCCAAGTTCCAGCTTCTTCTATCTCTTCATATTTTTCAGCTTAAATTTCCAAGAGAGAGATTCAGATTAGTCCAGCAGGTCTTGGCATAAACCACTTACAAAGCATGTAGACCCCCCATACTTGGATGAGATGCCCACCTCAATCAGTCAGAACCTGAGGAATAATGTCTTCCCTAGGCACACAATGGACTGGAGACAAAAGGGTCAGGAGCAGGGACATCTCCCTTGAGGAAGCACTAGGCCTGGACCAGGATTATTCTGCCAGTTATAAGTGTAGAAAGAAAAAAATCACCTCTACTTAGACTACAGGTTTTTAGCTACCTATTCAATCCAAAATAAAAATGAGGAGTATGAGGGTTAATATTGAGTGTCAACTTGATTCGATTGAAAGATGCAAAGTATTTTTCCTGGGTGTGTCTGAGAGGGTGTTGCCAAAAGAGATTAACATTTGAGTCAATGGACTAGGAGAGGCAGACCCACCCTCAATCTGGGTAGGCACCATCTAATCAGCTGCCAGCATGGCTAAGATAAAAGCAGGCAGAGGAACGTAGAAGGATTAGACTGTCTAACTTTTCTGTCCTCCATCTTTCTCCTATGCTAGATGCTTCCTGCCCTTGAACAGCAGACTCCTAGTTCTTCAGCTTTTGGACTCTTGGACCTACACCAGTGGTTTGCCAAGGGCTGTTGGGCCTTCAGCCACAGACTAAAGGCTGCACTGTCAGCTTCCCTACTTTTTAGGTGTTTGGAATTGGACTGGCTTCCTTGCTCCTCAGCTTGCAGATGGCCTATTGTGGGGCTGCACCTTGTGATCGTGTGAGTCAATGCTCCTTGATAAACTCCCTTTCATGTATACATCTATCCTATTAGTCCTGTCCCTCTAGAGAGCACTGACTAACAGAGGGAGCCACTACAGACTCGATATGTTATAATGGAAAACTAAACTTAAACTAAATTAAATTAAAAAGCCAACACATCCATCAAAACATGGTGTTTCAGTAGGACAGGTTAAACATCACCTTCATATAGAAAAAACAAACAAAACAAAAATTTTGATTATCTGCGCTATGTATAAACGTAGACAAAATCTGTTTCTGTAATAGATGGCCAGCTCTTCCCCCTGCAGTTCAAGAAAAAATAAAACTGAAGATCATCAGAATAAGAGCAACTGAAAAGGTTATGGAGATGGGATGGGCTAAACACTTGAAACTACTCAGATTGGAAAGTCAGAGACTCAAATAAACAAAGGGACAACAGCCAGACTGTATATAACATTAGGACTCTGACCTACAATCTGTAGCTAATAGTCTGGGAAACCAAATCACAAAGTCTGCCACAATCAACTCATGTTGGCCAGGACTTGGTCAATGACTGGCAGCTCCCCTACTTTTTGCTCTTACTTCTAACAAAGGGCCAAAAAAAGAAAGCCACATATGCTCCCAAATCAATCACGAGGGATGCCTCATTTCTGATTAGGTTGTCTCCAGCTTCCCCAGGTCAACAGTCTTCAACAGGCCAACAAACTTCAATACTTTAAGCCTTCTCTTTTATCACCTTATAAAGCTTTTATACTTGTACTTGACTTTGCATTTCTGCAAAAAATAAGTAATAGTAACTAACTCCCTGGAACAGATAGCTTTGACTAAATCACCTCTGTTTATTTTCTGTTAGTGGTCTTCGTTTATTTCCACAAGAAAAAAGGTAAGATGACAAATATCCATAAAATCATAAATGATCTGCATGAGGAGAGCAGAGATTTAAACAATAAATTTTGTTCTTTGATGAGGATGTAATAAGTTACTCAGTGTCTCTTAAGATTAAAGTCAAGGTCAGGAGATGTTCCCTGTGAAAATGATTATAACAAAGTAAATAAATCATATAGCCATAAAGAAACCTATTCTTAAGAAATTACTTGTAAAGTCGATATTACTGTATACAGTGTTACTTCTGTTTCCTCCAAAATCAGGCCATCAATAAAAAATTTGATTGAGACCAGTAAAGTAGTAACTCCATAGTGACATACAGAAACCAAGATATATGAGGGTTGACTCTGGTCCCAATCCTCTTCCATGAGGTTGTTCCAGATCTTTTCAGTGCTCTGCCTACCATCTATACTGCCCTTATAGACCATGGTCTCACATGACCTATACTCCATGTTGCATATGATGCATGAATGAGTGAATAATGGCCCATGGGTCTTGCTGGTGTTTCATGAGTTAATAATTTCAGCTCCCTCAAGCAAATGTTAATTCTCTGAGGACAAAAACATAGAAGGTACATTTCCCGAACTACTTGCTTAGTAACAACACAGTTTAATTAAGTCAGTCATAAAGTTTGACTTCAGAAGGAACCACTGTCACATGTACTTATGATACAACTATGATTACCTACATCACGGTTGTATATTGCAGTTGTTTGTTTTGTTATTATGTCCACTACCAACTAGAAAGCCCTTAGGGCAATAACTGCTTTGTCATTGTTGTTCATTTTGCATTTCCTGTACCTAACAGAGTAGCTGGTTCATGATAGGCCCTTGATATTCAATGTCCTGTTTGCTGTCGACTCCTACCAGAAAAAGAATTGTATATGAAGCAGCAGTGATCTGACCTAGGTAGCAACTGGTGCATTTTGCATTTCAGGGGTTAGAAAACTTTACCTGAAAAGAACAGATGGTAAATTTTAGGCTTACAGGACATAGGGTCTTTGTAGCAACTACTCAACTTTACCCTTGTCAGCCAAAGCAGCTCTAGACAATAGTAAACACATAGGGATGGCTGTGTTAATAGTACTTTCTTTACAAAAACAGATAGAGGACTGGATTTGGCCTGAGGCCTACAATATGCCTACCCATGAACATGGAATATCCATAGTTCAAAGAGAGATAGGAATTGTATATACTCTGTAAATCCAAATATAAGCAATACTTCACAAAGCCATAATTGGGGCCCCCAAACTGTTCCCAAATGTGATGCAATTTGCTGCCTATATTCAAAATGGAGGGAAATGTTAAATTTCAGCTTGCGCTTCGTGGAAATACAGATGGACCTTGGCTAAATAACCCCTGCTCTAGGAGGAATGGAATTTACCATTTTTCTCCATAATAACACTGTTTATTGAAGGACAACTTACTATGAACCAAACTTTTAATATACATCATTTATTCAATCCCCAAAGAACACTACAAAGTAGGAATTATCATTTTTATTTTAGACATAAACAAGTGGCAAAATAGCTTAGTGAGTGTATTGTTTGAAGTCACGAGATTTGTGCAAGAAAAAGACAGCTTCAAGCCCAGGACTACCCAACTGCATGAGTCGTGTGCTTTGCAGACTGCAGATCCCTCAGCAGGAGAGGGGAGAGCTGGTGTCGTGGAACGTGTGTATATTAAAACAATGACCTACATTGATCAAATAAACATAGCTTCGACTGAAAATGTGATATTTAATTTTCTTTTAGACCTTGAAATTTGTCACCCAAAGATTGGAAGGAAAACGTATATGATGAAATGAAACTCTCAGGAATTAATTTAACAACTACATTGAAATTCTATTCATTATCTATACAAAATGCAACAAGTTGCACATATTTAAATAAAGAAGATTTCATATTAAAATAGTTCTAGCTATTTCTAAAATAAAAAATACAGTTTTCTATAATGAATCAGACTATTTTTATTTAAACACATTTGAAAGGTGTTTAAAAGTCCTACTTTGCAAATTCTCACTAGTGAGAGATTGAACTTTTAAAATATAACATTCATACAACTTGCCATGTACTCCACTTCTGGTAGATTTCTAAAATTTTTCCTTTCCTATCCATGGTCTTCCTTGATACAGATTCTACTACAAAGAAGCATGAGGATTTTTCTTGCAAACACACACACACACAGACACACAAATACAACTGTTATATAACTGGCCCAAAATTCACTAAAATATCTCTGAAAGTTAGTTTGTTCTCCAATCTATTTTGACCTAAACTGAAAAGGAGTTCCTTTTTGAAGAATGCAACTTTATAGAAGCAATGCAGAAGCAAATGCTAGATTCCCAGTTGTACTACTGGAACTTTTCTTTTTGAGATGCTAGTAAAGAGGGGTTTTGTTGCAAACAAAATGATGCTAATCAGGAGGGGTTTTCTTGCAAACACACACACACATACACACACACACACACACACACGAAAGCATATATACACACCTCAATAGTTCAAACACATTCTTTGTTAGAATTCAAACGCTTCCAAGCCTGCACCCTCCTGCTCTGGAGACTTCTCACTGACTCTGTACCCACCCCCGCCCCCAGGGAGCCCTCTTGTGGCAGGGGCACCTCAGAATACTCCTGCTCTCCCAGAGGTCTCCATTAACCTTCCCTGCAGACATTAGGAAACTCTTCACCTATGGTATCTTTTCCTTTCTTTTCAATGGTTTTTAAAAGTCAAAATTTTATCTCTTTTTTTAAAATAGCAACTTAACATTCAGGTTGTTTTGAAGCCTCCCCAGTCAAAGACTGCACAAATGAAGGCTCTTTTAGCACTCTCACCCACATGGTCCATATGTTATATTTTGAATAGGCAAGATGTTATACACAGCTTTGGTAAATGCAGTGAGGCTAAATGAAGTCAGAAATTGTGATATTTGCATTTACTCTTTAACTGTGATTTTGCCTCATTGTACCAAATAGAGACAGACAACTTTGAGCACAAGAGGCAACAACAATAACAAAAAAACACCCACTTGTCTATTTGGGTTGGTGTTTTGTATTTTTTTTAACCACCACTTTGTGAACACATTTAAAGTTTCAACTTTATTACCTCATTCTAGTTATTTTTTATTTTTGTTTCTTCATTTTATTTTTTTTAGTTATCTCATTTTTATCTTCTTTTATAGCCTCCTATAATACCTAGAATATAGAGAAGGGAAGTAAGGAAATAACATTACTGGATAATAATCTCCAGGGCTGTTTGGAGTTCAGATTAGAATGCCGCAGATTAGACTTTCCTTGAACTCATGACTCACATGATGTAAGTTACCATCAGGATGAATGCTGGAGTGTGTTTGTCATTCAAGGATACTGATATGACCATATAGTGAACAGAAAAGCTGAGGAGGAGTGTATCTTTGTTGTTGGATTTCAAGTATATTCCCAAATGGCTCTTGACAACGACAGAAGAGCAGCGCTCAGACACTCTCCTTGTCAAGCTGTGCCAAACATCTGGGTGAACACTGACAAAGAAAAATCAGTCAAATCACCTGTCGTTGAATAGTCATGAAGTGAAATGCTGCCTTCGGAAACATCAAACACAACCTTTTGATGTTGTCTTTGAAGCTAAAATTCTATGAAAGATGCTTTGTGCTTCTCACATAAAAATCACAGTGTCTCATGTACAGAATGAAATCACTTAGAGAGGAGTGGGAGAGTGAGGGAGAGGATGTTCTTGGGGCTGATGTATCCCCTAGCAGAGAAGATGGGAGGCAGAGAGCCTCCTCCCAAGGTGCTGCTTTTAAGAAATAGAATGGGTGCACCACCAAAGAGAGGCTAACAGTTAACATCTAATGAGATCTCTCTATGCCTGCATGGGGCCAAATATTTCACATACATTTACCCATTTAAGTAAGCCTGAAAACAACTGCAGGGTATAGTTTGTACTGCTACTATTACTGCTAATAATACTACTAATAATAGTAGCTATGACTTAGAGAGTGACTGTTCGAAGCACTTAATATTGATATTTATTCATTTAGTCCTCATGGCAACCAATTAAATGACCCCCATTTAAAAGATGAGGGACTTGAGACCCAGCGAGGTTAACCTACCTGAATCAACCTACCTTAGGGAAACAGGAATCTGTGTGAAACAGGTGCTCTTGTTTTTTGTTTTGTTTTTTGTTTTGTTTTGTTTTGTTTGAGATGGAGTCTAGCTCTGTCACCTAGGCTGGAGTGCAGTGGCATGATCTAGGCTCACTGCAACCTCTGCCTCCTGGGTTCAAGCCATTCTCCTGCCTCAGCCTCCCAAATAGCTGGGACTAGAGGTGCCCGCCACAATGCCTGACTAATTTTTGTATTTTTAGTAGAGACGGGGTTTCACCATGTTGGCCAGGCTGGTCTTGAACTCTTGATCTCAGGTGATCCACCCACCTCAGCCTCCCAAAGTGCTGGGATTACAGGTGTGAGCCACTGCATGTAGCCAAAGCAGATATTCTTACAGTGTGCTAGAAAGCATAACACATTGTATATGTCCCTGGAAATCTGTGACGGCCTCCATCTAAAGTATTCTGCCAGGAGATCACCCTTTGCTTATTCACCAAATAATAATTAGAAATAGCTATCCCTTATGGAAAGTTCATTGTGCAAATAAACACTGCACTAAGTGCTTCATGTGTATTAAATTTCTGTATTTTATTTTTTGTTTCTATTTAGAAAACTGAAAGTCAGAAAGGTTAATTAACTTGCCTAAAGTCACACAGCCACTAAACAAGATAGACTGGACTTACGCTGTGAGACTGAAGTCCTGCATCACACGTGGCAGTAAGCACCACGCTATGTGTTCATTTTTGAGTAAGTATCATGGTAAGGTCTTGGTTAGGTATCAGAGATGCTGAGATGAAAAAGCAAGCTCCTTGCCAGAGAGGAGGTAAGGGTCCATTGAGCAAAACATGGACCCTTGTCCATGTGTAAACCAGCAATTACAATGTCTTAAAAATGGTTGTTTTAATTAAATGGGGTGCAGCATCAGGAAAGCACCTCATATAGGACATAGCACTTGACCTGCCACTTGAGTGCTACATGGGAAGTTAACTGTCATGGTAACATTGGGCTAGAGGCAAATAAGGGTCTGACAGAGAATAAGAATATGCTTTTTCTTGTTTTAAATATCAGCCTTCTAATGATGTCACAGTTGGAAAAACATGTTTAACATGCAAGCAATATTTTACTATGAAGTATTTTACTATTTTGCATGGGCTTATACCATACCATGGCCTGGATGGAGGGAGAGGCCTTCATCCCTCTCCCAAATTTCCATCTCACCCACCCTGTTTTTACTCAGATATAAGACTCACTATTCCTAAGACAGATTCAAATCATACCCTCCTTTTACGAAGTGTTTGTTTAGCTCACTATATTGCAATTATTTCTTTCCATCTCTATCCCACCCATTGGATTGTGAGCTTTAGAGATCAATGGTGAGACCCTACATATTTATCAGTTTTAGTTTCAGGAAACTCATCAGGTTCTCAGAATAAAGATTGGTAAAACAAACAAACAAACAAACAAAATCTCCCCTCTTGCTTCTGTCAGGGGGAGAGGAAAAGTAACCATTTCGAAATATGCTCAAAATTTTGACCTCCTTATGATGTTTGCCCTCAAGGAAAACTATTTTACCAAAGCCTAAGTGATTTGGGATTCACAAAGCTCTAATAAAAGGGAAGTAAAGTGGGGAGGGAGCTGAACAGCATTCATGAAGGTAACAGCTCAGGGGCACAGTCTCGTGAAAAACCTGAGACCTTGTCAGAAGACTACAGAACATCTCCTCTTCACCAAACACTTTACACTACCTATAAAGGGCTCATTTATAATAACAAGACTATAGCTAAAAGAACTGAAAGCCTCTCTAAAACCCTATTTAAGAAGGAGTGTCTGGGGAAACCCAGTAAACACAGCCTTACACCTAGTCAGATAAACATGAAACCTCACACTCAAGATCTATTTACTTGAGTTCCTTTACTGAATATAACATGTCTGACATTCAACAAAAATTATAAATCATGCTCACAGGGAAAAAACACAGTCTGAAGAGATAGAGAAAGCATCACAGCAGACTCCAATAGAGCAGAGATTTTGGAGTTATCAGACTGGGAAATTAAAGTTCCAATGATTGATATGCTAAGGGATATAATGGAAAAAGTGGAGAACATGCAAGAATGGATAGGTAATATAAGCAGAAAGATGAGAACTCTAAGAAAGAATCAAAAGGAAATCGAAACACTATAATAGAAACTGAAAATTCTTTTTATTAGGCTCATCAGTGAGTAGATACTGCCAAAGAAAGTGCCAGTGATCTTAAAGATATGTCAATATAAATTTCTCAAATAGAAAAATAAAGAGAAAAAATGAAATAAACAGAAAAAAATTAAGAAGGTTGGGACAATTACAAAAGGAATAATATATGCATAATAATAGTATCAGAAAGATAATAAAGACAGAAAAAAACAGAAGTATTTGAAGTAACAATGTCTGAGCATTTTCCAAAATTAAAAACAGACATTGTACCACAGATACACAGGAAGTTCAGAGAACCCCAAGCAAAATAAACACACACAAACATTTACATCAGGACATCTCATATTGAAGCTGCAGAAAATTGAAGACAAATAAAAAGCTAGAAAGAAGCCAGAAAGCAGAAAGGGGAAATCAAAACACTTCACCTATAAAGGACCAGAATTAAGAATTACATCAGTCTTATTTTCAGAAACAATGCAAGTAATAAGAGAGTGGAGTAAAATATTTAAAGCATTGGAAGATAAAAACCCACTAATCTAGAATTCTATATCCAGCAAACTTTTCAATAGTTCCCAAAATTTTTGTCAATGTGAAGGGGAAATAAAGACTTTCTTAGGGAAACAAAAATTGAAAGAATTTGTTGCCAGTAGACCTATTATGCAAAAAAATGTTAAAATGTTCAGAGAGAAAGAAAATGATACAGGTTAGAAACTCAGATCTACATAAAAGATCACTGAGAAATAAAAAGTTAAAATAAAACCTATTTTTCTTAGCCTTAGCTGATCTAAGACTGGTGGTAATAGCCTATAGATAATTTAAATGAGTGATAGAAATGTCATAAGAAATAGGAAGGAAAAATTAAGAATACTCTGTTATAAGGTACTTACAGTGACCATGAAGTGGTATAGTGTTACTTGAAAGTGGATGTAAATTAGTTGTATATTGTATATATTAGTTGTATATGCCAACACTAAAACAAACACTAATTTCTTTAAAGAAGTATATTTGATATGCTAAGAGAAAAGATAAAATAGAGCCATATAAATGCTCATTTAAAGCCAGAGAAGGCAGAAAAACAGTGGAAGACCAAAAGGAAAGAAATAAAATATAAGTGCACCAAAGAAAAAACAGTTATAATATGGTAGATATTAATCCAACTATATCTATGATCACTTTAAATGTGAATAATCTAAATATACCAATTAAAATACAGTCTGTTAGAGTAGATTAAAAAAACTATATGTTTCTACAAAAAAATCCACTTTAAATATAAAGATACAGATAAAGTGAAAAAAGATAAAGAAGATGTACTATGTGAATGCTAATCAAAACAAAGCTAGGATATTTATATTAATTTCAGACAAAGCAGCCATCAAAGCAAGAAAAATTATCAGAGATAAAAAAGAGAATTATATATTGACAAAGTAGTCAATTCTCTAAAGACATTACAATTCTTACTGTATATGTACCCAATAAGAGTGTTACATAAGTGAGACCAAAAATGATAGAACTATAGGAAAAATAGACACACTACTATTGTAGTTAAAAATTTAGGATACCTCTATCATTAATTGACAAATCCAGCAGGCAAACAATCAGTAACCATGTAGTTGTGTTATGGGAAGGCAGGGACCCCGAACAGAGGGACCGGCTGGAGCTGCAGCAGAGGAACATAAATTGTGAAGATTTCATATTAATATGGACAGTTATCAGTTCCCAAATAATACTTTTATAATTTATTATGCCTGTCTTTACTTTAATCTCTTAATTCTGTTATCTTCGTAAGCTGAGGATGTATGTCACCTCAGGACCACTGTAATAATTGTGTTAACTGTGCAAATTGATTGTAAAACATGTATGTTTGAACAATATGAAATCAGTGCACCTTGAAAAAGGACAGAATAATAGCAATTTTTATGGAACAAGGGAAGACAACCATAAGGTCTGATTTCCTGTGGGGTTGGGCAAAAAGAGCCATATTTTTCTTCTTGCGACATGCAAGTAGGAAAGATATTGCTTAATTCTTTTCCTAGCAAGGAATATTAATATTAATACCCTGGGAAAGGAATGCATTCCTGGGGGGAGGTCTATAAACGGCCACTCTGGGAATGTCTGTCTTGTGCAGTTGAGATAAGGACTGAAATAAGCCCTGGTCTCCTGCAGAAGCCTCAGGCTTACTGGGGTTGGGAAACCCCAACCTGGTAAATTTGTGATCAGACCAGTTCTCTGCTCTCAAACCCTGTTTTCTGTTGTTTAAGATGTTTATCAAGACAATACGTGCCACTGAACATAGACCCTTATCAGTGGTTCTGCTTTTGCCCTTTGTTCTGTTCCCTCAGGAGCATGTGATCTTTGTTAGACCCTTATTAGTGGTTCTGCTTTTTGCCCGTTGAAGCATGTGATCTTTGTACCTACTCCCTGTTCTTACACCCCCTCCCCTTTTGAAACCCTTAATGAAAACTTGCTGGTCTGAGACTCAGGCAGGCATCATGGTCTTACCAACATGTGATGTCACCCCTGGTGGCCCAGCTGTAAAATTCCTCTCTTTGTACTGTCTCTCTTTATTTCTCAGTTGGCCGACACTTATGGAAAATAGAAATAACCTACGTTGAAATAATGGGGGCAGTTTCCCCCAATATAGTTGAACTGAACAACACTATCAATCTGTGGTGTTTATTTGACATTTGTAGAATACTTCATCAACATCAGAATGCTTATTCTTCTCAAGCTCACATGGAACATTCACCAAGATAGAGGGCATCTTATAACACACAACACATTTAAAAGAATAGAAATCATAAAAAGTGTGCTGTAAGAATACAATGGGATTAAACTAGAAATCAATGAAATAGGTAAAAAAAAAAAAAATCCCAAAATATTTGGAAGTTAAACAAACCACTTCTAACTAACACATGGGTCAAAGAATTCTCTAGAGAAATTTTAAAAATATTCTAAACTAAATTAAATAAAAATATTACTTATCAAAATATGTGAGATGCACAAAAAGCAGTTATTTTAGAGAGAAACAGCATTAAATGCATATATTAGGGAGATTTAATATATATATGGAAATAGAAAAACATATAAAATTAAATCAAAAAATGCAAGAGAAAAAGATTAAAATTAAAGCAGAAATAATTGGCATTGAAAACAATTGGAAAATAAGTCAATGAAACCAAAAGCCAATCCTTCAAAAAGATCAATAAAACTAATAAATTTCTAACCATGCCAACCATGAAAAAAGAGCAAAGATATGAATTATTAATATCAACAATAAAATAGGGATCTCTATTGATCCCGTAGACAATGAAAAAAGTAAATATTTTGAATGGCTCCATGCTTATAAATTTGATAACTGACATGAAATGGACCAATTCCTTGAAAGACACAATATACCAAAACTCATGCAAGGAGAAAAAGATAGTCAAATATCTATCTAGCTATATATATATGTGAAATTAAATTAATAATTAATAACCTTCCAAAAACAAAACTTTATGCCCCGATGGTGCCTCACTGATTAGGTGTGTGAAACATTTAAGAACGAAATGATACCAATTCTCTACATCTGTTTCAGAAAATAGGAGAGAGAATATTTTCTAACTCATTCTGAGAGTCTAGCATTACCATCGTACTAGAACCTCACAAAGACATTACAAAGAATGAAAACTACAGACCAATATCTGATGAATATAGACACAAAAGTCCTCAGTGAAACATTAGCAAGTTGAATCCAAGAATATATAAAAAGAATTGTATACCACGACCAAGTGAGATTTATTCCAGGTATGCAAGACTGGTTCAGCATTCGAAATCAATTAATATAATTCATCATATCAACTAACTAAAAAAGAAAAATCATAATATCAATAGATTAAGAAAAAGCATTTGACAAAATTTAAAATCTATTTATAAAAAATAAATAAAACTCAGAAAAACTAGAAATAGAAGTGAACTTCTTCAACTTGATAAGTACCTCTACAAAAACTTAGATCTAATATTATATTTTAATGATGAGAAACTAGAAACTTTTCTCCTAAGATGAGTAATGAGGTGAGGATGCTCACTCTCATCACTTCTACACAATATCATTTGTAAGCCCTAGCTAATGAAATAAAAACATTTAAAAAGTCATAAAGATTGGGAAGAAATAAATAAACTGCCTTTGTTTGCAGATGACATAATTAGCTATGTGGAAATTTCCCAAGAGCTAACAAAAACAAAATAAAAACTTTTGGAACTAAAAGGTGATTGTAGCAAGGTTGCAGATTACAAGGTTAGTATACAAAAACCAATTGCTTTCTTACAAACCAACAATGAACAATTAGAATTTAAAATTAAAAACACAATACCACTTACATTAGCACCAAAAAATGAAATGGGTGTAAATCTAACAAAATATGGATAAGAGCTACATGAGGAAAACTTTAAAACTGTGATGAAAGAAGTCAAAGATCTAAATAAATGGAGATGTATCCAATGTTCACTGATAGGAAGACTCAATAGTGTCAAGATATTAGCTCTTCCCAATATGATCTGCAGACTAAATGCATTCTCAATCAAAATCACAGCAAGTTACTTTGTGGATATCAACAAGCTGATTCTAAAGTTTACATGGAAAGACAAAAAATCTATAGTAGTCAAAGCATTAATTTGAAAGAACTTCAAAGTCACAGGACTAGTACTATCTGACAAGAAAACAATAAACTAATATTCCTAGTACATACTGAAACAAAAATCCTCAATGAAATACTAGCATATCACATCGAATAGCATATTAAAAGGATTATACACCTTGAGCAAGTAGAGTTTCTTCCCACAATGCAAGGATGTTTTAACATGTGAAAATCCATCCATGTATTACACTACATTAACAGAATGAAAGACAAAACCACATGATTATCTCAATTGATACAACAAAGGCGCTTAACAAAATTCAATATCCTTTCATGATAAAAATACTCAAGAAACTAAAAACAGAAGGAAACTACCTCAACATAATAAAGTCCATGTATGAAAAGCCCACAGCTAACATTACACTCAATGGTGCAAGATTAAAAGCCTTTCCTCTAAAATCAGGAATAAGACAAGGATGCCTGCTCTCATTACTTTTACTCAATAGAGTCCTGAAAGTCCTATTCAGGCCAATTAGTCAAGAATAAGAAATAAAAGCCATCCAAATAAAAAAAAAGTAAAATCAAGAGGATGACATAATCTTATATGTTGAAAACACTAAAGAATCCACACAAAAAACTGTTAGAACCAAGAAACAAATTCAGCACAGTAGCAGAAAACAAAGTTAACATGCAAGAATCAGTTGTGCTTCTACACACTAACAATGAACAATCTGAGAAGAAAATTAAGAAAAAATCCCATTTACAGTAGTAACAAAAAGATTAAAATACTTGGGAATAAACTTAACCGAGGAGATGAAAAGCTTGTACACTAAAAATTACAAAACATTGCTGAAAATAATGAAAGAAAAGAATGAATGGAAAACCCATCCCATACACATGAATTGAAAGACTTAATATTGTTAAATGTCAACATGACCCAAGGCAGTCTACAGATTCAATGTGATTCCTATTAAAATCCCATTAGTATTTTTGCTGCAGAAATAGAAAAAAATCATATTAAAACTCATGTAGAACCTAAAGTGACCCTAAATAGCCAAAACAATTTTGAAAAAGCAGAACAACGTTGGAAAACTCACAATTTTTTATTTGAAAACATAGTACAAGTCTACCATGACCAAAACCATGTGGCATTGACAAAAAGACAGACATAAAAATTAATGGAATAAAGAGCATAGAAATAAATCTATGCGTACATGGTCAACTAATCTTCAACAAGAGTGCCAAGACCACTAAATGGGGAAAGGACAGTCTTTTCAACAAAAGATGCTGTACAAACTGGAAATCTACATGCTAAAGAATAAAAGTGGAACTTATCTTACTCCACATACAAAATCCAACTCACAATGAATTAAAGGCCTAAATATGTGCTTAGTGTAGGTTGCTATGAAAGAATAGCACAGATTAGGTTATTTATAAAGAAAAGAAGTTTGGCTCATGATTCAGGAAGCTTGAAGGCCTAAGGGCCTTGTTCTGGCTTTTGGTGAGGGCTTTCATGCTGCACCATAACATGGCAGAAAAGCAGAAGGGTGAGTGAGAGCATGTGAAAGACCAGAAGCATGTGGGACAGACTTGCTTTATAACAACTGACTTTCAGGGTAACAATAGTAATCCACTCATAAGTGACCCAACCCCATAAGCCAAACACGTCTCAGTAGGTCCTACCTCCCAAGAACGCTGCATTGGGAATCAAGCTTCCAACACATGAATTCTGGGGGACAAATACTCGAATCATAGCAACTATAAGGCCCAAAACTATAAGTCACCTAGAAAAAAGCATAAGGCAAAAGCTTCATCACATTGGATTTGGAAATAATTTCTTAGATATGACACCAAAAACACAAGCCACAATTGTAACAATAGACAAATGAGACTACATTGAACAAAAAATTTCATGAATCAAAAGACACAATCAACAGAGTGAAAAGGAAACCTAGAATGGGAAAAAGTACTTATAAATCATATATTTGATAAGGGGTTAATACCCAGAATATGAAAAGAACTGCTGCAACTCAACAACAACAAAAAAATCAAATAAACTTGTTAAACAACAGGCAAGACTTGAATCAACAGTTTTCCAAAGATGATACAAAAATGGCCAACAAGCACATGAGAAGATATTCAACATCACTAATCATCACAGAATTGCAATAGAAAGCACCAGCTATCATCTCACACTCATTAGGATGGCTAATACCAAAAAAAGAAAGAAAGAAAGAAAATGACAAGTGTTGGTGGGGACGTGGAGAAGATGGAAGCTGTGTGCTGCTGTTGGGATTATAAAATGGTGCAACCACTGTAGGAAAGAGTATGAGGGTTTTTCAAAAAGTGAAAAATAGAATCCAGCAATCTCACTTCTGCATAAATATTCAAAAAGAAATGAAAGCAGGGTCTCGAAGAGATAGTTGCACGCCAATGTTAATAGCAGCATTATTCACAATAGCCAACAGGTGGAAGCAACCTAGTGTCCATTGTTGGATGAATGGATTTTAAAACGTGGCATATATGTACAAGGTAACACTATTCAGCCTGTAAAAAGAAGAAAATCTTGTCACATGCTACAACATGGATGAACCTTGAGGATGAAGGAGTGACAAACATACCACTCTGGCATATTTACTACTTACATTAAAGGCACTTTCAAAATGGCAGGTGCAAAACAATCACTCTGACTTTTTTGCTGTTTCTTAAAAGCAGAAGAAGAAATTCCCACTGAAATTTGTCCTCCCTACGCTAAAGAAAAAGCAACATTCTTATCATCAAGGATGAGAAAATTGAGGCAGAAAGAATTTTGTACAAACAAGCCTTGTTAAACTAAACTTTATCTTCCTAGCAGTTTCTCCACCCAGTTAAATTTCCTACCACAATCCCCTTTGCTTTATCACATCTTTGCAGCTTACTATTCTTTGTCTTACTTAGGTTATAAGTAACTGACTCTAACTGCTTCTTTGAGTCTTCATTTCTTTATGAATGCTCCTGTACCACTTAAAACTTGTATTAGATATATTTGCATGCTTTTCTTCTGTTAATCTGTCTCCTGTCAATTTAATTCTTAGACTCACTAGGACCCTAAAAGGTAGAGTTTCCCCCCACACGCAAAGACATTATACTAAGTGAAATATTTGTGTCACAAAAAGACAAATACTGTATGATCCCATTCATATGAGGTACCTAAAGTAACCAAATCCATGGAGACAGAAAGTAGAATGGTGATTTTTCAGGAGTTGGGGGGAAAGAAAATAGGGAGTTGTTTAATGGATATAGAGTTTCAGTTCTGCAAGAGGAAAAAGTCCCGGAGAGCTATTTCACAACAGTGTGAACATACTTCACTATGGAACTGCACACTTAAAAACAGTTAAGACAGCAAATTTTATGTTATGTGTTTTTTATCATATAAAAATAACCCTTTTTTTTTTCTGAGAAAAGGTCTCACTCTGTTGCCCAGGCTGTAGTGCAGTGGCACGATCATGGCTCACTGCAGCCTCAAACTCAAGCGATTTCCCCACCTCAGCCTCCCGAGTAGCCGTGACTATAGGCACGCGCCACCATGCCTGGCAAAAAAAAACATTTTTAAAATTAGTAGTTGCTAGAGGTTAGGGGAAGGTGAAGAGGAATAAATGGGTGGAGCATGGGGGATATTTAGATCCATGAAGCCATTATTATAATGGTGGCTATGTGACATTATGAATTTGCTGAAACCCATAGAATATGCAACACTTAATGTTAACTGTGGACTTTAGTTAACGGTATTGTATCCATGTTTATTAATTGTAGCAAATATGCCACACTAATGCATAATGTTAGTAATAGAGAACATTGAAGAGAGGATGAGGTGCATGGAAACTCTGTACTTTCTGCTCAATTTTTCTGTAAACCTAAAACTGCTCTAAATAATAAAGTCTATTAGATAAAATTAATTAATTAATTAATTTGTAAAGAAAGCAAAGATGAGAATACATGTCTCTTCGAGCTCTGTGGCTCCATGCTACCCACGTGTCATCTATTCCTACGAAGACCCCTAGTTTTAGAAGTCCCCCTTGGCATTCATATGTTCTTCCACATGTGTTTGTATACTATAGTCTATATCTTAATTTAAGCATTGCAGAACTTTAAAAATCATTCATTTTAAAAACAAACATACTGTCCATGAATTTGTCATCTGTTTCTGCCCACAAGGGCCAGCTTTACACTCTCTCACTCCTAGATGTCCATATATTTCTCTCCTGTTTAATGTATCCAGGGGCATAAACAAGCATAAAATTCTGTCTCCAATAATGGAATTAGAGCATCCTGTTACACACACCCCCAAGAAAATAAAAGATTAAAGTACACCAAGTTAGAAGAAGGACTCCTCAAAGGTGCTCCATTTGTGTCTCATCAGACTGAGCCTCTGTCCCTTTGGGTCCTGGACATTTGCTATGGGTTGTTTTCAAGGGTACTACATATAAATGCATCTACGAGCAATCTCATGACCACACATAATTTCATCTCATCTCTCCTTCCTCTCCCTGTCCTCATACAGCTCAGCAGTAAGAGCTCCTTTACTCAATTATTAACAGTACTGAATAAATTGAAAAAAGACACAGGAAAATCAACAGAAGAGAGGGATTTTTGTTCTTACTTTACTCACCATGATCTTGACAACTCATACATTTTTAAATGTTAGCAGGCAGTGCTCTAATATTTACTGTGCATGTGTCTTACACTATAATATATTAATATAAGTTCCTTCTTTTTAAGGATGAGATCTTTTTGTTTGACCTTTTAGAAAAAAAAAAAGCATATTTCATTATAGTGCCCTGACTTCCCTTTCAGATTTACACTAAGCGAAAATGACTTTCAGGTATTTATGTCATCCTCACATTTTTCACGATTCACATAAAGCTGAGAACAGGAATTCATGTGGGCTTGTTTACCTGGAAAAGGTAGACTATTTCAGCTCACTATCATCAACCGGGCCAAGTAAAGTACTTTAGTTAGCAAGTAAATCAAGGCCAAGTAAAGAACTTTAGTTAGCATCACCAAAGGTTAACAATATCATCCAGTGTCCTCATTTGTAAATAAATCAGGAGAATGGTGAGAGAATTGTGCCCAGAATCGTTTCACCAAAGAGGATTTGGGGGTTGAAAGTAAACCCAGGGCACCATCTCTGAACCTGCTGCTGTGTGACAATTATAATGCTTTTCTAACTTAACTGTTAAAATCCAAGCAGCACAAGCAATTAAAAAAAAAAAACTGAGTCAGAATGCTTTGAGCCATTTAGCTTAAACAATAAACAGATTTACTATGCCATAAAATGAGAAGTCCAGGTGCAAAGAAGTTTGACAATTGGCTGAGAATCACAACTGCCCCAAGGACTCAGGTTTCCTCCACTTCTTGTTCTGCTATTTGACTTTTACCACCTCACTTGTCCCTTCCACGGCTGCAAGAAGGCTGAAGCAAGGTGAAGCATCCTATCTTCACATAGCAACATCCAAGACCTAGAAAGAGAATGGTCCTTCTTCATGCCACCTTTTAATAATGAAGGAATGCTTTTTAGAGAGTCCCAGCACCGCTACTATCAGTATTGAATTCTGTTCAGATGTTAGGCCCATTTAAAAGTTGGGTTGTTTGTTCTTTTATTGCTGAGTTTTAAGAGTTCTATGAATATTTTGGATACCCATCCTTCATCTGATATGTGTTTTGCAGAGATTTTCTCCCAGGCCATGGATGTCTTCTCATTCTCTTTACAGTGTCTTTCACAGAGCTAAACTTTTTCATTTTAATCAAATCCAACTTATTCATTTTTTTAAATTTCACATATCATGCTTTTGGTGTTGTATCTAAAAAGTCAACAAGAAACGCAAGGCCACCTCGATTTTCTCCTGTTATCTTTCAGAAGTTTTATAGTTTTAAATTTTGCAATTATCGTTATTCTATTTCTCTTATCCGTGATTGCTGTAGGAATGGGCAGAAATATATTTGCATTCCTACAGCCATCTCTGGTAAGAAGAATGGACTGACCATAATTGTTTTCAACTATTGACTATTAAATTTCTCCTGACGTTCGAGTCATCTGGCCTATTAGTCAGGATTCTCCAGTGAAACAGAAAAATGGGGATGTGCATCGAGACTTATTAGAAAGAATTGCCTTACATGATTATGAAGGCAGGGGGTTACAACATATGCAGTCTGGGCCAATACGGTGGAAACTCAGAGGAGCCAATGATGAGCTTCCAGTCTGAAGGCAATCTGATAGAGAATTTCCCCTTGCTGGGGGGAGGGGGAGGTATCTTTTTATTTTTCTATTCAAGCCTCCAACTGATTGGATAAGACTGACACACATTGTGGAGGACAATTTGGTTATTTAAAGTTCACTTATTTAAGTATTAACCTCATCCAAAAACACCCTCCAAGTTGACACAGAAAATTATCCACTACAAGTCTAAACTTGTCAACTTGGCACTCACATGCATCTCTTTAAACCGCACGTAACCTCCTAATAAACACAAAAACGGTCATACTTCAACCTACCCTGAGTGCACTAACTGCTTTCCTCAAAAAGGATTAAAAGTCCTTTTTTGATGTTCTTGATGATGTTTACTCTTCTCGATATCTTATAACTTATATACTATGATAAAAAGCCAATACAACTTATGTTACCGGATAAGGGGAAAAGAGAGGGGAGAAAACAAAGGTATTTGTTATATATGTATGTATATGTATATACTCATGTGCCACATAATTCTGTTTCAGTCAGTGATGAGCCACACATATAATGATGGTCCCATAAGATTACCATATACTTCCCATTGTGTTACAGTTGCCTACAGTATTTAGTACAGTAACATGCTGTACAGGTTTGTAGCATGGGAGCAATAGACTATACCACGTAGCCTAGGTGTATAACAGGCTGTACCATCTACATGTGTCTAAGTTCACTCTATGATGTTCACACAATGACAAAATTGCCCAACAATGCATTTCTCAGAACATACTCCCTCATTAAACAACACATGACTGTATACACACACACACACAAACACACACACACACACATTTATAACAAAATACAGAGAACCTACTCATAAAAATTACAGTCCTCATTTTTGTAAAAGATTACTTATACATAGATGGTATTCATACCACATTCTTCCACTATTCATTTCATATTCTCTTTCTCTCTCTCTCTCTTTTTTTTTTTTTTTTGAGACAGGGTTTTCCTCTGTCACCCAGGCTAGAGTGGAGTAGCATGATCGCGGCTCACTGCAACCTCTACCTCCTGGGTTCAAATGTTCCCCCCACTTCAGCCTCCTGAGTAGCTGGGATTACAGGCACACACCACCATGCCTGGCTAATTTTTGTAGTTTTTGTAGAGCCAGGATCTCACTGTGTTGCTCAGACTGGCATTTCATATTCTCTTTACCTTCAGCAAGCACCTCAGCTGGCCATGGTGCTTTAGCTGGTGGGGTGACTCAAACCTTCACTCCTGAAAAGTCTGGTCCATTCGGATTCTGAATTGGGCTATTGTCAATTCCTACTGATTTTAATCACAAGGCATTGCGATACTCAGAGATGCCCTAGGGGATCTCCTGAACTCCAGACATGTTCTTCCTAACCTCCACTGTGGAGTAGTCAGGATCAGTCCCTCCTGTGAGCGCAGTAACTTTCTTCTTTGCCTGCTAATTGAGAGGTATAAGGAGTCCAAAGTGGCTGGCTGGCAGTCAACTTCCAGTTCAGTGGAATCATTTTTGTGTTTCCTGGTGGAAGGATTTCTTCCTTTGGAAATAAGTTCTCTAGATCAGCAGAGAATAAAGTCATGAGGAGAGAAGGCAAAAATTTTGCTAGTGGGTTACTAGGGGTAATGGCGAGTGGTGCTACTCCCATTTCTGTCCCTTGATTTCTAGACCTGTGAATCTTGGATATGAGAGAAACAGGATGATACATTGTTGCCGATTCAGAGCATACACAGCCTCCTGGACAATATTGCTCCAGCCCTGCAAGGCATTGCCACCTTGCTGGCACCATACTGAGTCTTCAAAAGGCCATGCCAACATGCTATCAAACCAGCTGTTTCAGGATGGCAGAGAACATGGTGAGACTGGTAGATTCCATGAGCTTGGGCCCATCACTACACTTCTTTTGCTGTGAACTCAGTCATTTATCAGAAGCAATGCTGGGTGGAATACCATGACAGCAGATACGGCATTTTGTAAGTCCACGGATGGTAGTTTTGGCCAAAGCAGTGCATACAAGGAAGGCAAATCTTTATCCAGAATAAATATTGAATCCAATAAGGGCAAATTGCTGCCCCTTACATGATGAAATGGTCCAACGTAATCAATCCACCACCAAGTATGTGGCTGATCACCCCAAGGAATGGTGCCATGTGAGGGACTCAGTGTGATCACTTTTGCTGGCAGATTGGGCACTCAGTGGTGGCCATAGCCAGACTGGCCTTGGTAAATGAAAGTCCATGTCGCTGAGTCCATGCATCATCTCCACCCCTGCCACCATGGCCACTTTTTTCATGAGCTCATTGAGTGATGACTAGAGTGGCTGGAGAAAGAGGCTGACTGGTATCCACAGAATGGGTTGTCCTATCCACTTTATTAAAATCCTCGGCTGAAGTCATGGCACGCAAATGTCTCCATATTTTTGCCAAATTCAGAGACATCTATCCATATAGCTCTTTTTGAAATTTCTTTGTTGCCAAGTTTTCTAATCACGTTCTTTCCAAATTCTTGACCATCCAGCCAAACCACTGGCCACAGCCCATGAATTAGCACATAATTGTACTTTTGGTTCTTTCTCTTTCCAAGCAAAGTGAGCAATCAGGCGCACTGCTCAAAGTTCTGCCCACTGGGAGAATTTTCCTTCACCACTGTTCAGGAACGTCCCAGAGACAGGCTGTAGTGCTACAGTTTTCCACTTCCAGTTGGTGCCCGTATGTTGTGAAGCCCCATCTGTAAACCAAGCCTGAGTCCTCTCTTCCTCTGCAAATGGATCCAAAAGAACTCCCATGAGGCCATAGATGCAGGTTAGGAGAGTGAGGGCAGTATAGCAGGAGTGGGGCCATGGGTACTTGGGCTACTTTTTCATGTAAATTACCTGTGCCTTCAGGGCCTGCTTGAGTTCAGCCTTATATATACCACTTCTATTTGACTGTTGCTGTGCCTGTCAAACTTAATGGCTTAGTGGATCAGATTGCACTGGTTCATGATGGGCAGGACATGTCCCATAGTAACTCCATGGTCAATGGTTAAATGTTCAGTCTCCACTAAGGCCCAGTAGCAAGCCAAGAGCTGCTTCTCAATAGAAGAATAGTTATCTGTGCACTGTGATTCACCTTTAGGGACCTGCCAAAGGTGCCAAACAGCCTGCCTATCTGCTACTGATGCTTCAACCACCACTGGATCTGCTGGATCATATGGCCCAAGCAGTAGAGCAACTTGTACAGCAGCCTGGACCTGTTGTACAGCTTTCTTCTGTTCTGGGTCCCACCGCTCACCATTACCCCTAGTGACCCACTAGCAAACACTAGCAACTTTCTGGTTCACTCAATAAAAGGGCCACAGCAACATATCTAAATGAGAATTACATTGCTTTCAAAATCCCAAGAGGCTCCCTAGGCTTTGTGCCTATTGTTTGTCTGTGTGTGTGTGTGTGTGTGTGTGTGTGTGTGTGTGTGTGTGTGTGTTTTAGAGGGGCCAGATGCAACAACTTATCATTTACCTTAGAGGGGATATCTCAAGGTGCCCCACACCACTGGACCTCCAGAAATTTCACTGAGGTAGAAGCCCTCTGAATTTTTATCAGATTTATTTTGCATCCTTCAGCATGCAAATATCTCACCAATTTGTCTAGAGTAGTTGCTACTTCTTGCTCACTAGGTCCAGTCAGCATAATGTCATCAATGTCATGAACAATGTTATATCTCAGGGAAGGGAAAGGTGATCATAATCTCTGTGAACTAACTTATGACACAGGGCTAGCGAGCTGATAAACCCCTAAGGCTAACTGCTTATGGTGGATCTTATGGACAGGGATGAAGAAAAAGGGATTTGCCAGATCAATAGCTACATATCCGGCACCAGGAAATGTGTTAATTTGCTCAAACAATGTAACCACATCTGGCGTAGCAGCTGCAATTGGAGTCACCACCTGGTTAAGCTTACAATAATCCACTGTCATTCTCCAAGATCCATCTGTCTTCTGCATAGGCCAAATAGGAGAATTACATGGGGATGTGGTGGAAATCACCACCCCTGCATCTTTCAAGTCCTTGATGGTGGCACTAATCTCCACAGACCCTCCAGGAATGTGATATTGCTTTTGGTTTACTATTTCTCTAGGCAGAGGTTGTTTTAGTGGCTTCCACTTGGCCTTTTCCATCGTAATAACCCTCACACCATAGCTCAGGGAACCAATGTGGGGATTCTGCCAGCTGCTGATTAAATGTATTCAAATCATGCTTTCCAGAACTGGTGAAATAACCACAAGATGAATTTGGGGACCCATTGGGCCTACGCTGAAATATATCTGAGCTAAAACTGCATTGATCCCCTGACCTCCGTAAGCCCCTGCTCTGAATGATAGACCATAGTGATGCTTGGGTCTCCTAGAATTAGTGTCAGTTCAGAGCCAGGGTCCAGCAGCTCCCAAAATAACTGATTATTTCCTTTTCGCCAATGCACTGTTACCCTAATAAAAAACTGAAAGAAAGATAGGAGAAAGATTAACAATATAAATGTTTGGTGGTATATAAGGGTCCTTCCTCAACAGGATGCAACGCAGCCTCCCCTTCATCCAAGAGGTTCTAGGTCTGTAAACTGACTCAAGTCTGTAATCAATTGAGTGACTTCTATTTTTATAGTTTAGGTTAGACTTTTGTTCACTTGACCTAGAACTTTCTGCTTATACAGATCAAGTAAACATTTAGTAGGCTTGCTATCTATTTTGGTTCTAGGAACACCATCATCAGCTAGCCCATGCCCTAAGTCTGCAGTAGTCAAACCCTTCTGCTTGCTGCCTTGACTCTACTGTCCGTTGCCTTAATCATGCTCACCTTGCCTTTGATGGTTGAGTGCAGCCCCCACTTGGCCCTTGCCACCCTGGGATTCAGTTACACCCATTGCATTTAGGTTTCATGTCATCTGCAAACAGGGGCAATTTGACTTCCTCTTTTCCTAATTGAATACCCTTTATTTCTTTCTTCTGCCTGATTGCCCTGGCCAGAACTTGCAACACAATGTTGAATAGGAGTGGTGAGAGAGGGCATCCCTGTCTTGTGCCAGTTTTCAAAGGGAATGCTTCCAGTTTTTGCCCATTCAGTATGATATTGGCTGTGGGTTTGTCATAGATAGCTCTTATTATTTTGAGATACATCCCATCAATACTTAGTTTATTGAGAGTTTTTAGCATGAAGGACTGTTGAATCTTGTCGAAGGCCTTTTCTACATCTGTTGAGATAATCGTGTGGTTTTGTCTTTGGTTCTGTTTATATGATGGATTACGTCTATTGATTTGCGTATGTTGAACCACACTTGCATCCCAGGGATGAAGCCCACTTGATCGTGGTGGATATGCTTTTTGATGTGCTGCTGGATCCTGTTTGCCAGTATTTTATTGGGGATTTTTACATCGATGTTCATCAGGGATATTGGTCTCTTTTTTGTTGTGTCTCTGCCAGGCTTTGGTATCAGGATGATGTTGGCCTCATAAAATGAATTAGGGAGGATTCACTTCTTTTCTATTGATTGGAATAGTTTCAGAAGGAATGGTACCAGCTCCTCTTTATACCTCTGGTAGAAATTGGATGTGAATCTATCTGGTCCTGGACTTTTTTTGGTTGGTAGGCTATTAATTATTGCCTCAATTTCAGAGCCTGTGATTGGTCTATTCAGGGATTCAACTTCTTCCTGGATTAGTCTTGGGAGGGTGTATGTGTACAGGAATTTATCCATTTCTTCTAAATTTTCTAGTTTATTTGCATAGAGGTGTTTATAGTATTCTCTGATGGTAGTTTGTATTTCTGTGGGATCAGTGGTGATATCCCCTTTATCATTTTTTATTGTGTCTATTTGATTCTTCTCTCTTTTCTTCTTTATTAGTCTTGCCAGCGGTCTATCAATTTTGTTGATATTTACAAAAAACCTGCTCCTGGATTCACTGATTTTTTGAAGGGTTTTTGTGTCTCTATCTCCTTCAGTTCTGCTCTGATTTTAGTTATTTCTTGCCTTCTGCTAGCTTTTGAATGTGTTTGCTCTTGCTTCTCTAGTTCTTTTCATTGTGATGTTAGGGTGCCAATTTTAGATCTTTCCTGCTTTCTCTTGGGGGCATTTAGTGCTATAAATTTCCCTCTACAAACTGCTTTAAATGTGTCCCAGAGATTCTGGTATGTTGTGTCTTCATTGTTATTGGTTTCAAAGAACATCTTTATTTCTGCCTTCGTTTTGTTTTGTACCCAGTAGTCATTCAGGAGCAGGTTGTTCAGTTTCCATGTAGTTGAGTGGTTTTTAGTGAGTTTCTTAATCCTGAGTTCTAGTTTGATTACACTGTGGTCAGAGAGACAGTTTGTTATAATTTCTGTTCTTTTACATTTGCTGAGGAGTGCTTTACTTCCAACTATGTGGTCAATTTTGGCATAAGTGCAATGTGGTGCTGAGAAGAATGTATATTCAGTTGATTTGGGGTGGAGAGTTCTGTAGATGTCTATTAGGTCCGCTTGGTGCAGAGCTGAGTTCAATTCCTAGATATCCTTGTTAACTTTCTGACTAGTGGATCTGTCTAATGTTGACAGTGGGGGTGTTAAAGTCTCCCATTATTACTGTGTGGGAGTCTAAGTCTCTTTGTAGGTCTCTAAGGACTTGCTTTATGAATCTGGGTGCTCCTGTATTGGGTGCATATATATTTAGGATAGTAAGCTCTTCTTGTTGAATTGATCCCTTTACCATTATGTAATGGCCTTGTCTCTTTTGATGTTTGTTGGTTTAAAGTCTGTTTTATCAGAGACTAAGATTGCAACCCCTGCTTTTTTTTGTTTTCCATTTGCTTGGTAGATCTTCTTCTATCCCTTTATTTTGAGCCTATGTGTGTCTCTGCATGTGAGACGGATCTCCTGAATACAGAACAATGATGGGTCTTGACACTTTATCCAATTTGCCAGTCTTTGCCTTCTAATTGGAGCATTTAGCCCATTTACATTTAAGGTTAATATTGTTATGTGTGAATTTGATCCTGTCATTATGATGTTAGCTGGTTATTTTGCTTGTTAATCGATGTAGTTTCTTCCTAGCATTGATGGTCTTTACAATTTGGCATGTTTTTGCAGTGGCTGGTACTGGCTTTTTCTTTCCATGTTTAGTGCTTCCTTCAGGAGCTCTTGTAAGGCAGGCCTGGTGGTGACAAAATCTCTCAGCATTTGCTTGTCTGTAAAGGATTTTATTTCTCCTTCACTTATGAAGCTTAGTTTGGCTGAATATGAAATTCTGGGTTGAAAATTATTTTCTCTAAGAATGTTAAATATTGGCCCCCACTGTCTTCTGGCTTGTAGAGTTTCTGCCGAGATATCTGCTGTTAGTCTGATGGGCTTCCCTTTGTGGGTAACCAGACCTTTCTGTCCAGCTGCCCTTAACATTTTTTCCTTCATTTCAACTTTGGTGAATCTGACAATTATGTGTCTTGGAGTTGCTCTTCTCAAGGAGTATCTTTGTGGCATTCTCTGTATTTCCTGAATTTGAATGTTGGCCTGCCCTGCTAGACTGGGGAAGTTCTCCTGGATAATATCCTGCAGAGTGTTTTCCAACTTGGTTCCATTCTCCCCGTCACTTTCAGGTACACCAATCAGACATAGATTTGGTCTTTTCACACAGTCTCATATTTCTTGGAGGCTTTGTTCATTTCTTTTTACTCTCTTTTCTCTAAATTTCTCTTCTCACTTCATTTCTTTCATTTGATCTTCAATCACTGATACTCTTTCTTCCACTTGATCAAATCAGCTACTGAAGCTTGTGCATGCGTCACATAGTTCTCATGCCATGGTTTTCAGCTCCATCAGGTCATATAAGGACTTCTCTACACTGTTTATTCTAGTTAGCCATTTGTCTAATCTTTTTTCAAGGTTTTTAGCTTCTTTGCGATGGGTTCAAATATCCTCCTTTAGCTAGGAGAAGTTTGTTATTAACGTTCGTCTGAAGCCTTCTTGTCTCAATTCGTCAAAGTCATTCTCCGTCCAGCTTTGTTCCATTGCTGGCAAGAAGCTGCATTCCTTTGGAGGAGAAGAGGCACTCTGATTTTTAGAATTTTCAGCTTTTCTGCTCTGGTTTCTCTCCATCTTTGTGGTTTTATCTACCTTTGGTCTTTGATGATGGTGAGGTACAGATGGGGTTTTGGTGTGGATGTCCTTTCTGTTTGTTAGTTTTCCTTCTAACAGTTAGGACCCTCAGCTGCAGTTTTGTTGGAGTTTGCTGGAGGTCCACTCCAGACCCTGTTTGCCTGGGTATCATCAGCGGAGGCTGCAGAACAGCAAATATTGCAGAACAGCAGATGTTGCTGCCTGATCCTTCCTCTGGAATCTTCGTCTCAGAGGGGCACACAGCTGTATGAGGTGTCAGTTGGCCCCTACTGGAAGGTGTCTCCCAGTTAGGCTACTCGGGAGTCAGGGACCCACTTGAGGCAGACGGTCCATTCTCAGATCTCAGACTCTGTGCTGGGGGAACCACTACTCTCTTCAAAGCTCAGTTGGAAATGCAGAAATCACCCATCTTCTATGTCACTCATGCTGGTAACTGCAGACTGGAGCTCTTCCTATTCAGCCATCTTGGAACCTCTACCCCAGCAGACATTTTTTAAGGTATCTGCCCATCCCACAAAAAACAACCTGCCCATCATTTTCCTCAGATCAGGAGTTGACTCGTAGCAGCCATTTTTGTAAAGTGTGAACCCAAACTCTTAGCCATATTTGATGGGACAAGGAAGACTTCCATCTTAGTGCATCTGTGTTGCTATAAAGGATTACCTTAGGGTGGGTAATTTATAAAGAAAAGAGGTTTATTTGACTAATGGTTCTACAGACTGTACAAGAAGCAAGGCACCAGCATCTGCTTCTGGTGAGAGCTTCAAGCTGCTTCCACTCATGGCGGAAGGTGAAGGGGAGCTCGTGTGTGCAGAGACCACATAGTAAGAGAGGAGGGAAGAGTAGGGGGTGCCAGGATGTTTGTGGAAAACAATCAGTTTTCAACCTGAATGGGAATGAGAAGCATGAATCCTGAAAGTTCACCAGGTGTTGGCCCTCCCTTGGAAAAGTCAGAAGACACAGAGGTCTGCAACCAGAATGCAGCATGCCAACTCTGACATTTACAGTTAAGCTGATAAAGACATAATTTTAGCCACTCTGGTATAGACAAGCTCCCTGGGCAACCCAGTCACGAAAGGGTTGTGTGGCATTACAGTTATTCCATTTGAAAAGGGCAGTCTGGGGTGGCCTGGAGTGGCCACTGTCACACACACAAAAAAGAATACTCATCAGGCTGTCTAGACATACCAAGAAAACAGGGACCTCAATAGTGGAAAAGAGAAATGCACCCATTTTGGAAGTTTGATTTTTTGGTCAGCCGGTGAAATATTCTTTGTCTTCACTCTTTCTTTGGCCACTGACTCAATCCTTGCCACTAAAATTCCTAGCAGAGACCTGTTTTAAGACATTGTGTTAGCTCTTGTTTTTGCCACTCCACACTTCCCCGCTCAGGCTGAGATAGATGGTCCCAGGACCTTGGTCTTGCCAATCAAGATCTTCACACCTGATAGGTCTGTCTGGAGCTGACCAGGGGTGGGAGGTGACCAGAGGCCTCTGATCTCTGCAGTTGTGGAGGTGACCAAATGAGAAGGTGACCTCAATTCTTGAAGCCCTGTCCCCTGCCATGTGGAGGAAGCTTCTTGCACTAGCAGAGAACAGTGGGCATTTGGAAATCTTTAGAGGAATTTGCAAATCTTTAAGTGGATTAGTAATGTTTTTTTCAGAGAGCAGAAATGCTGGAAAGGGAAAATATAAATAGAGAATGAAAGATGTTTGCTTTTCCAATATAGCCTACTGTTATTACAACTTTAATTCTGGGAAGTATATCTAAAAAAAAAGTGCTGAAGTGAATTGAATGATGGTCCCTAAAAAGATATGTTCAAGTCCTAACCCTTGGAACCTATAACTGTGACATAGTTTGGGCAAAGGGCATTTGCAGATGGAATTAAGGATTGCAAGATGAAATCACCCTAGATTATCCAGGTGGGCCATAAATCCAATGACTTCATAAGAGACACACAGAGGAGAGAGACCTAGAGATACAGAATGCTTTGTGAAGATTAAGGCAGAGACAGGAGTGATACAGCCTAAACCAAGGAATACCTGGAGCCACCAGAAGCTGAAAGGGGCAAGAGAAGATTCTCCCTAATAGGGTCTTCAGAGGGGGTCATCTTACCAAAAGCTTGATTTTGGGCTTCTGGTCATGAAAACTGGGAGGAAGTAAATTTCTATTATTTTAAGCCAACGGTTTTGTGGCAATTTTGTCTTCACTCTTTCTTTGGCCACTGACTCAATCCTTGCCACTAAAATTCCTAGCAGAGACCTGTTTTAAGACATTGTGTTAGCTCTTGTTTTTGCCACTCCACACTTCCCTGCACAGTTTTCCAGGGGAAAACTGATACAAATGCTGCATAAAAACCATGGTTTGCTGAATCATTCAAAACTTTGGCTTTAGGAGCTATATACCTCAAAACTTTGGCTTTAGGAGGTATATACCTAAAACCATCTTCCTGTTTGTGTTAATTCTTGGTCTAACATTAAAAGAAAATTCAATAAAATGTTTGGTGTTTATCCAAAAATATTTTCTTTCAAGCTAAGCCAGATTTGGGGAAAGTCCTGGCTTGGTTTCACTGATTGGCTTTGAATTCTATTTCTTAAGTGAAAATCCATGTCATTTTTGACTGCCATTAGAGGTAGCAGATAAAGAGAATTTAAAAGAGAATCTTTATCTTTAAATAAATTTCAGACTTCTTATATAGGGTAAGATGTTTCTAACCATGCGAGTATTTTGACAGATACACTTATGGCATTTAAAAGGGTGTTCCTTGTCAGATTCCATAATCTTACATTTCAGGCTAAGATAAAACATGCAGAAAGGGTAAAGTTGCTGTTACTCTTTAGGAAATAGGGGACACAGTCTCTTCCATACATTTCTTCATATGTTTACATGTTTCTAAGGCTTGCAGCAACCAAGGAGCAGAAATGGTACCTCCCTCTTACAAAGCATCATAGGGTCCCCAGCAAGGAAATCATCCTATGTGATTGTAGGGAAAATTAAACAATTATATTTTAATTGATTCTTACAATGCCCCTGTGTGGTGGTTCATATTTTTTCCAATCTCTTGATGAAGAACTGAAGTGTTAAATTATTTTCCCCACAACCTTCAGTGGCTCAGGAAGGATAGAGCTCTGCCTCCCAGGCATTTGCTTTAGAACACCAGGTCCTAAGTATTAATTTAATCATCCATATTGCTCACCTGCCAAATCAAATCTTCAGAGAGGCACTGCTTGTCCTTAAGTTGAAGCCAGATGTGGACTACTTCCAGAACAGCTGTAGGTGGCGACCCATTTGCAGTTGCTTATGTCTGTTATCAAAGCCAGAAAAAATCGAAGCTGGCATCTCCCTCCCACCCCACAACAGGCAGCCACTCTCAAAGGCTCAGATGCCTGAAATGCCATTAGATCCTCATTCTCCTCTCAGAATGCAACTCAGCCTGCAGTGATAACACACTCAATTGCTATCATTTCAGCATGGATTTGTCCAATGCTATATAAAGAGATTAAGCGTGGGGTTCTTGAGAGCACGGGGATGCTCTTGAAGAAGACTGGGACAGGGAAAGTTCTCACAAAGGGGAGTGGAGATGCTGAAGCATTCCTCCTAAACAATGCTCCCATCATACAGAGAAACAAAAATCATGGAGGAAGGATGCAGCCAAAGGAGGCATTTTTTAAAATCCAGGTATTTTATGCTGACTACCAAAATGTGGCAGTGGAGCATTACAGGTACCATCTAGGTAATGTTGCTGATGCTGTGGTACAGTGCCCACCCTGCATCAGGCTTTGCCACTGTAGTGCACCAGGCTGACTTCCAAATGCCATTATTCCTTTTTTTTTTTTTCTTTTTTTGAGACAGTCACTGCAACCTCCGCCTCCTGAGTTCAAGCAATTCTCTGCCTCACCCTCCCGAATAGCTGAGATTACAGGCACCCACCATCACGCCTGGCTAATTTTTGTATTTTTTAGTAAAGATGAGGGTCTCACCACCTTGGCCAGGCTGGTCTTGAACTTCTGACCTCATGATTCACCTGCCTCGGCCTCCCAAAGTTCTGGGATTACAGTCGTGAGCCACCGCGCCTGGCCCAAATGCCATTATTTCATCTTTGTGCCAGGGAACATTCTCTGGCAGCTGGAGTCCTGTCACTCCAGCTTGGTAAAACCCCGTTCATCCCCAGGCAGCCCTTGAACAGAGACTCATGCATCCATACCCCAGCTGTTCTGAAGCATTCCTCCTAACAGGAACAGAAAATCGTGCATCCACACCCCAGCTCCTCCACATTCTGAGCTATGCGTACCGTGCTGGTACCCACAGCATCTCAGCAAGATCGAGCTCCAATGCCCAGGTTGGTCATTTGCCTCACGGTGCACTCCTTTTTGGCTGTCTTTCTTTCCTGCCTTCCTTTTCCTTCCTATTAGTGTTTCCTGAGATCACCTCCAAACAAGCACATGCTTGTCTCAAGGTCTGCTTCTGGGGAAACCAAACTAAGGGGGTTGGAAAAGTTGTCTGTAGGAAGAACCTCTCTTCTGCCTAAATGACTTCTGGCTTTGCATTTCCAAAGCCTTCTCTGTTGAAGTGCGCTCTCATTATTTCAAAAAAGCGTCAGCCAGAATAGTTATCTGGTCTAAATTCATATTTTCCTTCTTGCCTTACGATTAATTGTTGACAGATAAATACTTTCAGATCTATCATTTTTAATATACCTAGAAAGGATAATATGCCAGGGTACCAAGGCGGTATGGGGGGGTCGGGGGGACTAGGTGAATACCTAAACTTTCTCCCTACCCAACAACACCAGGGAGTCTGACCCTGACCCCAGCTATCAACAGAGCCAAATGAAGAACTGGGGCTTTCTCCACCACCTTGAGAGTAACCAACTGTCAGTCACTTTTCCCCAATGGAATGGTGTTAGATGGGCCCTTCTGAAACACAGAATTTAAATAAGATCCTGAATCTTATATTAGTCAAAACTCTCAAGTTTCAATAAAAAAATCTCTTGTCATACAAAACACTAAGAAGATCTCAAACTAAATGAGAAAAGGCAATAGACACCAACACGAAGATGAAATCAATGTGAGAAATATCTGACAAGGATTCAAAGAAGCCATGATAAAAATGCTTCAATGGCCAATTATAAAAAGACTTAAAACAAATTTTTAATATGGAAAAATCTCAGAAAAGATTTGAAGATATAAAGAAGAGCCAGAAAAAAATGTTTAGAACTAAAAAATACAATACTATGGAGAGGTCTACACATATAATTTTGACAACTGAGATGAAATGAACCTATTTCTCAAAAAATACAAACTATCACAACCCACTCAATGTGAAACAGTAGATGTGAATTGCCCTACAACTATAAAGGAATTGAATTTGTAATTTTTATTCAATTAAAATCTCCAGGCTCAAAGGGGAATGGAGAATTCTAATAGATGTTTTAAAAAGAATTAACACCATTCTACACAACATATTCCAAAAAAAAAAAAAAAAAAGAGAAGGAATCGCTTCTCTTTTGATTCAGGTTAAAGACCTAAATACGAAACAAAACAAACAAAACCACAGTCCAATATCCCTTAATAATATAGATGTGACAATTCTTAATATAATATTAGCAAATAGAAGTGTCGATATTATAAAGACAAGGTAGGCCTTTATGTCATGACCAAGTAGGGTTTATTCTAGAGATGCAAGACTGGTTCAATATGCAAAAAGCAATCAATGTAATCCACTATATTAACAGGTTAAAGAAGCAAAATCACGTGATCATATCAATTGATACAGAATTGACAGTCAAATATAACACTCATTAATAACAAATACTGACAATACAGAAAGCAATGAATAAAGAATAACTTCCTCAACTTCATAAAGAACATTTCTAAAAACCTACAGCTAATATCATACATAGTGGTGAAAGAGTCCATTCTTTGCCCTTACCACCAGGAAAAGGCATGGATTTCCACTATTAACACTGCTATTCAACATACTACTAGAAGTTCTAGACAGAGCAACAAGACAAAAAAGGAAATAAAAGATAAACAGATTATAAAGAAGAAATAATACTGCCCATATTTACAACTTTCATGATAGTCTATGTAGAAAATACCCAAAATAATCTACAAAGAAACTCGTAGAACTAATAAGTGAACTCAATGAGTTTGCACGATACAAGATTGACATACAGGCATACATTGTATGTTTATATATTAGCAATGAACATGCGGATTAAATTCTTAGAAATAAATCTAAAACCTGTACAGGAGTTGTATGCTGAAAACTACAAAATACTGATGAAAGAAATCAAAGCAGATAATAAATGGAGAGGCATACCAAATTTATGGATTAGAAGACTCAATAGAGTCAAGAAGTCAATTTCCTCCAAATTGACAAATGCATTTAACAAAATTCCTATCAAAATCCCAGGAATAATTTCTGTAGATATAGACACCATTATTTTAAAACTTATGTGGAAAGACAAAGAAACTAGATAAAATAACTAAAACAATTCTGAAAATAAAGTGGGAGGAATCATTTAACCCAATTTTAAAACTTAGAAAGCTACAGTAATCAAGACTGTGTAGGACTGGGGTAGTAATGACACAGAGATCCATGGTTCAGATTAAAGACCTACAAATAGCTCTATGCAATTATGACCAACTAATAACAAAGGCATAAACGCATTTATATGAAGGAAGGCTAGTCTTTCTAACAATCGGTGCTAGAGCGATTGGCTATCTATTGGCAAAAGCTGAACCTAGACCTAAGCCTCAAACCTGACTCAATGTAGATTTAAATGGTAAACATAAAACAATTAAACTTTTTAGAAGACAGTAGATAACATCTTTGGGACCTGGGTCTTGGTGAATAGTTCTAAGATATAACACTAAAAACATAATTTATAACAGAAAAATATTGACACAGTGGACTACAACAATATTTCAAACTTTTGCTCTGCAAAAGACCCTGTTAAAATGAAAAGACAAAGTAATATTTGTAAATTTCATATTTAACAAAAGTCTAATCTATACTGTATAAAAAAACTCTCAGAAATCGACATTAAAAACATAATCCAATTAAAAAATGTCTAACAACATGAAGAGATATATGAATGGCAAATACTCACATGAGCAGATGTTCAACGTAAGTAACCATTAGGAAAATGTAAATTACGACCATGATGATATATCTGAACACATGTACCAGAGCAACTAAAATTAAAAATGGGGACAATACCAAATGCTGGCAAGGATACAGAGAAAATGGATCAATCATACATTGTTGGTGGGAATGTAAAATGATCCAGCAATGCTCAAAGGACATGCATTCTTTGTCCTTTGTCTGAACTATTTCACTCAACATTATGTTTGTGAGACTCACCTATGTTGTTGCATGTAGCTATAGTTTACTTATTTTTATTATTGTATAATATTCCACATATGGATATATCATATTTTATTTATGTTTTATGGTTGAAGGACTTTGGAATGCTTGCAGATTGGGATAAATAGAAATAATACAGTGACAATATTTATAATTATTGGTATCATCAGTCTTTTATTAAATTTTAAGAATTCTGTTATGGAAAATAATTACAGATTTAATTTTCATATCTCTGATTACAAAGGAGGTTGAACATCATTTCAGGTTTGTGGGTCATCTGCATGTCCTCTTTTGTGAGTCACCTGCTCAATCTTGCTTATTTTCTATAGAGCTGCTGTGCTTCTTCATTTGTAAATGTTGCAAGTGTCTTCTTCCATTCTGTGAATTGCATTTTCTCTTAGTAATGTCTTTGGATGAGCCCTTTTTTATACAGTACAGAGAAATCTCCTGTTTCAAGGGAGGAGAGAGGCCAAGGCCCTACCAGGTTTCCATAAAAATGGTGTAGTTTTAAGAGCCCGCATCACCAAGTCAATCCTAATCCAAAAGAACAAAGCTGGAGGCATCATGCTACCTGACTTCAAACTATACTACAAGGCTACAGTAACCAAAACAGCATGGTACTGGTAACAAAACAGAGATATAGATCAATGGAACAGAACAGAGCCTTCAGAAATAACGCTGCATATCTACAACTATCTGATCTTTGACAAACCTGAGAAAAACAAGCAATGGGGAAAGGATTCCATATTTAATAAATGGTGCTGGGAAAACTGGCTAGCCATATGTAGAAAGCTGAAACTGGATCCCTTCCTTACACCTTATACAAAAATCAATTCAAGATGGATTAAAGACTTAAACGTTAGACCTAAAACCATAAAAACCCTAGAAGAAAACCTAGGCATTACCATTCAGGACATAGGCATGGGCAAAGACTTCATGTCTAAAACACCAAAAGCAATGGCAACAAAAGACAAAATTGACAAATGGGATCTAATTAAACTAAAGAGCTTCTGCACAGCAAAAGAAACTACCATCAGAGTGAACAGGCAACCTACAGAATGGGAGAAAATTTTCGCAACCTACTCATCTGACAAAGGGCTAATATCCAGAATCTACAATGAACTCAAACAAATTTACAAGAAAAAAACAAACAACCCTATCAAAAAGTGGGCGAAGGACATGAACAGACACTTCTCAAAAGAAGACATTTATGCAGCCAAAAAACACATGAAAAAATGCTCATCATCACTGGCCATCAGAGAAATGCAAATCAAAACCACAATGAGATACCATCTCACACCAGTTAGAATGGCAATCATTAAAATGTCAGGAAACAACAGGTGCTGGAGAGGATGTGGAGAAATAGGAACACTTTTACACTGTTGGTGGGACTGTAAACTAGTTCAGCCATTGTGGAAGTCAGTGTGGCGATTCCTCAGGGATCTAGAACTAGAAATACCATTTGGCCCAGCCATCCCATTACTGGGTATATACCCAAAGGACTATAAATCATGCTGCTATAAAGACACATGCACACGTATGTTTATTGTGGCATTATTCACAATAACAAAGACTTGGAACCAACCCAAATGTCCAACAATGATAGACTGGATTAAGAAAATGTGGCACATATACACCATGGAATACTATGCAGCCATAAAAAAATGATGAGTTCATGTCCTTTGTAGGGACATGGATGAAATTGGAAATCATCATTCTCAGTAAACTATTGCAAGAACAAAAAACCAAACACCGCATATTCTCACTCATAGGTGGGAATTGAACAATGAGATCACATGGACACAGGAAGGGGAACGTCACACTCTGGGGACTGTTGTGGGGTGGGGGGAGGGGGAGGGATAGCATTGGGAGATATACCTAATGCTAGATGACCAGTTAGTGGGTGCAGCGCACCAGCATGGTACATGTATACATATGTAACTAACCTGCACAATGTGCACATGTACCCTAAAACTTAAAGTATAATTTAAAAAAAAAATGGTGTACTTTTGGAAGACGGATGAAGTCCATAGGTGAGGATGCTGCTTGGAGCACCTTTGGTGTACTGAGACAACAGCAAGCAGCACTCTCAAACCGTGGTGCCAACCCCAGGACGCAAAGGAGACACCGACGGCTTGAAGGGCAAACAATGCTCAGCAAGGACTGAAGCACATGAAAGCTTTTCGAACACAAATGAGATCCTACCCTTCCCTCCTTCCTCCAAATTCAGGAATCCTGGAAATAAAATGGGCAAGACTGAGACAATGCAAAGTGTCTAGCGATAAGGAACCAGAAAACGAGCTTGCAAAATTCCACTTGTTAGGGTTGATGATGCTAGGACATTGTGACCTAGTGGGGAGCAAGAAAGGTGGGCAAACAAGGAAATACTTGCTTGGATTTCAGAGAGTTACCAGTCTCATGATAGAGGCAGCTGTTACGGTACGGAAGCCAAAAGGGGAAGTGGCCAATGTCAAGAAGGGATAGCTCCATTGGGTTGGGAAAGAAAACTGAGATATACATAACTTGGGGAGGAGACAGGTTTAAATGAAAGTTCCTCAAACTTAGTTTACCATGACCTCTAGCGTCTCAGAAATGCTTCAAGGTGCATCTAAGCCAAAAGAAATGTCTAATAGCATAGCTCCATTTAATCATTAGTTAAGTTCGCACAATTTAAAAAGTATCTGTTTTGACAACTTACAGAGGATCCTCATTGTTTGCCTACTTGCTACGTGTTGGTAACCCCAAGACCAAGCCTCACAGTGCTTTTTCAAGTCACTCAGGGACATGCACAAGATGGTGAACATTTTGAGTCACTTGAGCCACATGTTCCCAGCAGAGGTGACAACACGTTGCTCTGTCTTCCTGTTGAAGTGAATGTCCTTTCTGTGGTTTGGTGCCACATTTCTCTCATTTTTTTGTGCTTTATGTTAGTGAATTTGCTGTTTAAAATGAACCAAAACATAGTATTGGAGTGCTTTCTAGTGTCCCTAAGCTCAGGAAGGCTGTGATGTAACTTACAGAGAACATATATTTGTTAGATATTCTTTGTTCAGGCAGGAGTTACATTACTGTGCTGTTGGCCAAAAGTTCTATATTAATAAATCCACTATAAATAAAACAAGGTGTTTTTAAACAGAAGCTCACATAAAGCAAGGTTATGTATTGGTTGGCTGATGAAACTGTTGTGGTCAGAAGCTTGCAGGAACCACTCCTGTATTTCCCTTAGGAATAATAGTTCAGTATTTGCTAATTCACTGTCTGGGGTGACTTTATGGAACATAACTACTGCAGATAATGAGAATTAATTGTAGTTATTTGAAAAACAGTACATATAAATTGAAGGAAAAAACATGCCTTCACTTCATCTTAAATATCCCAAATTGCTTAAGAATGTGTGTTCTTGCTGAGTGCTACACACGTTCTCAAATGCAGAATCATATTGAGAACTGCCACCTTCATTTCTGGTTCCACTGTGCTTTTTACATATGTTTAATAAGAGCAATCACTGGAAACACAATTTCAAGAAGATATAACATCATTAATACAAATATTGCATGCTCTAATGATGAGACTGGCAAGTTACATTATCCCACAGGAAAATTGCGTATTCTGTGTTTCCCATGGAAATGTAAACTATCCTGCAGAATCTTAGTAAATTTGCTGTGACTTCCTGGGCACCTCAGCACACTGTTTGGGAACTGTGGGTCTAATTAAAGAATGTATAAAGCCAGAGTGAAATTAAACGCCGTTGGCCAATGAACAACATAGATTTGAAATGCACGGGTCCACGTATACATGAATTTTTTTCAATAAAAGTTACAAGTGGCTGCATTGTATTCCATGGTGTGTATGTACAACATTTTCATTATCCAGTCTATCACTGATGGGCATTTGGGTCGATTCCATGTCTTTGCTATTGTGAATAGTGCTGCAATGAACATACACATGCATGCATCTTTGCAGGGACGTGGATGAGGCTGGAGGCCATTATTCTCAGCAAACTAAGACAGGAACAGAAAACCAAACACCGCATCTTCTCATTTATAAAGTGGGAGCTGAACAATGAAAACACATGGACACAGGGAGGGGAACAACACTCCCAGGGGCCTTTCAAGGGAGGGCATTAGAGAAAAGAGCTAATGCATGCTGGCTTCAATACCTAGATGATGGGTTGATAGATGCAGCAAACCACCATGGCACACATTTACCTGTGTAACAAACCTGCACATCCTGCACATGTACCCCAGAACTTTAAAATTTTTTTGAAAAAGTTACAAGTGGAGTGTGCTTGCCTCTCCTGCCTCCCCTTCCACTTGCCTCCTCCAACTCCTCCGCCTCCACTGTTCCTGAGACAGAAAGACCAATACCTTCTCTTCCTCCTCCTCAGCCTACTCATCGTGAGGATGCCGAGGATGAAGACTGTTAGGATGATCCACTTCCACTTAATCAATAGTAAATACATTTTCTCTTTTTCATGACTTTCTTCATAACATTTTCTTTTCTGTAGCTTGCTTATTATAGTACTGTTCATAATGCATATAACATATAAAATATGAGTTAGTTAACAGCTTATATTATCGGTGAGGCATCCAGTCCATAGGAAGCCATTAGTAGTTAAGTTTTAGGGGAGTTAAAAGTTATATGTGGATTTTCAACTGCACAGGGTTTCAGCACCATAATGCCTGCAGCGGTCAAGGATCAATTGTATTCTGTTTAAGAGATAACCAATACGGTTATTTTTCCAATATGGAAAAATTATAAGAAATGGCAAAAATGTGGCTGGAAAATGAATTTTGAACTAGCAAATGAATACCATCTTGAAAGTGTTTAGTTTTTGTTCTGAAGCTCACAGATTCAAAGAAAGTTTTAAAGAGGAGAGAGTGGATTGGTAAATCTGTACATAGATAAGCTTATACATAGATATTTCTATGCATAGAGATAGATAAACTCGTGTGTGTGTGTGTGTGTGTGTGTGTGTGTGTGTGTGTGTGTATTATTTTTATGTTTTAGGAGCATAATATGGTGGCCATGAGGGGTGGATTGAATTGAGGAGAAATTATAGTTAGGGAGACTGGCCCATATAATAATTTTAGTGCAAGTTGAATAAGAAACTTACCCAAAGCATTAGGAAAATATTCTTTTCAAGAATATATTAAATTGGCTGGATATAGTGGCTCACACTTGTAATCCCAGCACTTTGGGAGGCCGAGGTTGGTGGATAACCTGAGGTCAGGCATTCGAGACCATCCTGGACAACCAACATGGCAAAACCCCATCTCTACTAAAAATCCAAACCTAGCCAGGCATGGTGGTGGGGGCCTGTAATCCCAGCTACTCAGCAGGCTGAGGCAGAAGAATTGCTTGAACCTGGGAGGTGGAGGTTGCAGTGAGCCGAGATCGTGCCACTACACTCCAGCCTCGTTGACACAGTGAGACTCTGTCTCAAAAAAATAAATAAATAAAAGAATATATTAAATAGATTATGTGAATACAAGATCCAAAGGATTTAGTTAGCTATTAGAAATAAAGTGATGTATACATATCCTCTGACTCCTGGCTTCTTAGATTGGGCACCTAGGTGGAAGATGATGCTATTAGCTAAGCTACATCCTGACCTGCCTTTTGTATTCTTTTCACTCCTGTGAGCTGTGGATAAATTAAAACTCAGTTTAGTCTGCATGTTAGCTGATCTCTAACATCATTGCTGATGTCCATCACTGTTTCATTTTCTATCAATGCCAAACCATATTCCATGCTGAAGACATGGAATATTGTTAATTTTAGTTTCAGGGGCCCATTCCTATACATTCCAGGCTATTTTCAGATTTTGTTTTCAAGTCAAGCCTTATTAAGTCAAACCTATGCCCATTGGTAAAGGTACCCATGCAACTTTTCTATAATGAGCACACATGGGTAACAGTTAACACCGGCCTTCCTTCTGGATTGCAAACACTGCCCATTAAACACAGAGACAGGGCTTACTAGGGGAGAAGGAGGTTGGCGTGAGTGTGGGCTTGGGTAATGAGTTTGGCCACAGTCAAAGCCTGAGGAGTTCTAGGTACCCAGTGGGCAGACACACTCTTGATCTGGCCTTCAGAAGAGGTCAGCAGGTGCCCCCCCCCAACAGACAGGGAGACATCATCTCAGGAGCAGGCTGGTATCCTGCTGCCCCGCTGAGGAGCTGAGCATCCCTGCTGAGGGAAGCCTCCATTTGCAGGGTAGGTTGAGGGAAAGAAACTAAAGTAAGGGCAGCCAGTTTTTACAAGCAAGAGGACAGTGTACTTAGATGGAAGCTACCTCATGAATGTCAGGTGAAGAGGCAGAGCTAGCACTGATCATTCGGCATTCGCCTAACAAATATTTACAGAACACAGAACACAACAGATGACATCCTCGCTATTATTGATTCAAGCAGGGAAAGAGATGTCAAAGAATATATGTAATTACACTTTAAAAGTATTTACTGCCTTAATATTTAATAAATAGCTCACCCCTATTATCATTGCTTCTTGTTATTCCTTCTTCTCCTGATATCCAGGGGCTTGATCTTGTGGGATTTTCTCATTCACCTCTTCAGCAAGGATTTCGCCATGTTGGCCAGACTGGTCTCAAATTCTTGGCCTCAAGAGATCCACCTGCCTCAGCCTCCCAAAGTGCTGGGATTACAGGCATGAGCCACCGCTCCTGGCCCCCAAAGAACTTTTATTTGTGTGGGCCTTATCAGCTTTATCTATTGATACGTATTGTACTTGAAATCAAAACTGGGAAATTTTAAAAATAATTCATTTAAAAATAACAAAAATAAGCTATTACAGTAGCCTCGCCTTCCTGGTGGGGCATCTGTTTCAACACCCCCAGTGGATGCCTGAAACCAAGGAAAATACAGAACCGGATAGCTGTCAGTCTCAGCGTTTCCCTTTGTGTCTTCCACCCACAAATTTAATGAGCTTTTCACCTTAACTAAGCCCCTAGCACTCACTGTGGCCATAACTTCTGCAGTTTGAGATGTGACAGTAAAGCCAGTACAATTTTTTTCTTCATTGAAATTTCATGGATAGAAGATTCATTCTTACTGCAGATCTTAGCAACCTCAGCATCTAATTTTTTTCTCAGTAAGTCAGAAACTTTCGCTTTTGCTTAAAGGAAGAAATTTACAGCTTTCTCTTTGGCATATCCAAATTGCCAGCATCACCACTCTTGTCCTTTGGGGCCATTATGAAGTAAAATAATGGTTTCTTGCACACAAATACCACAATACTCAGACGGTGTATCTGATCGCTGAAACAGCTGAGTGACCAGGGGGTGGGTGGCAGAGACAAACATGGACCCATTGGACAAAGGGAGGATTCACATCCTGGGCAAGACAGAGTGGTACAGCAAAGATTTCATCACACCACTTAGAACAGTGCACAACTTAACACTTAGAAATTTTTTATTTCTGGAATTTTCCATTGACTATTTTCAGACAGTGATGGACCATTTCTGCAGGTAACTAAAACCTCCAAAACAAAAACCAAGTTTAAGGGAGGAATACTGCACATGCTAACTGAAAGCACATATTTTGCTGGAAAAGTCACTCTATTTTTTAAAATCTCATGAGATGAATCACATCATTTCTCACTTTTGCAAACTGTTTTAATGTCTGGCTTAAAAAACAGGTAGATCCTCATGGCTGCATGTGCAGTCACTCTGCTGCAGTATCACATGCTACAACCTCAAGAAAATCCACGTTGCCTCACGAGAGATAGCGAGTGAAAAAGGCAAATGACACTTAGTAGTATTACAAAAATAATACATCTGACTCCACCAGCCCTTTGGACAGGGCCTTGAGCACCCCCAGAGCCCCTGGCCACACATAGAGGCCTGTGGCCCCAAGAACCTGCCTGCATGTGGCCAGCCCATGCTGACATCTTTGGACTGTGCCTTCTAGAGCATTCTTCCATGGACGTTACCATTCTCAACAGTAGGAAAATCATGAACTTATATGTATTTTTCCTCTTATCATCTCTCAATGACTCATAGATAGGAGCATCCGGAGCATCCTCCACCACCCACGTGTGTCAGACCATCCTTGCATTGCTATAAATAAATGCCTGAGGCTGGGCAATTTATAAACAAAAGAGGTTTACTGGCTTGCGATTCTGCAGGCTGTAGAAGCCTGGCGTCAGCATCTGCTCAGCTTCTGGGGAAGCTTCAGGGAGCTTTTACTCATGAGAGAAGGTTAAGCAGGGTGGGTGCATCACACGGCCAGACCAGGAGCACGAGAGAGAGTTGGGGAAGATGCCGCACACTTCTAAACAACCAGATCTCTTGAGAATTCACTCACTATCAGAAGACAGCACTCAACAAGAGGTATCTGTCCCCATGACCCAAAAACTTCCCACCAGGCCCCACCTCTACCACTGAGGATTAAATTTCAACATGAGATTCAGAGGGGACAACATCCAAACTATATCAGCATGTAAACTAGAAAAAAAGGGCACATTTTAAAAAGTGCTAACCTTTTCAGAACAAATTATTCATTATGTCTCATCAATACTGCCACCATAAGTTAAGCTGAACTGAAAGGGTAGAAGAAATTGATTCTTTCCCTCTCATATTTCTACATGTCACAAGATAATTAGTTCCCCTAGCCAAGTCACTCAAAAATTTAAAAATTATTTCTTGCATGTAATGTAATGCAGTTTACTTTGGTATTTTTTTCAGTTTTGTTTATTTTTTGAATTAAGAAATTTATGGATATCTAGGCCAGGCGTGGTGGCTCATGCCTGTAATCCCAACACTTTGGGAGGCCAAGGTGGTAGATCACGAGGTCAGGAGATCGAGACCATCCTGGCTAACATGGTGAAACTCCATCTCTACTAAAAATACAAAAACAAAATTAGCCGGGCGTGGTGGTGGGCTCCTGTAATACCAGCTACTAGGGAGGTTGAAGCGGGAGAATGGCATGAACCTGAGAGGTGGAGCTTGCAGTGAGCTGAGATCACACCACTGCACTCCAGCCTGGGTGACAGAGCAAGACTCCGTCTCAAAACAACAACAACAATAAAAAAGACATTTATGGCTATCTAAATTGTGCTATTTAATATATAACTTATGATCAACCCAATCATGTAAGAATACTCTTGGGAAGCATGTATTGATTTTAAGCTGTGTTGGAGACCTAGAAATATACTGGGGGGAATAACTTGAGCTGAACAAGAGAAATATGAGGCAATCTAGTACTACTTTTAAAAAACTGTGTAAGGTTTTTGAAAAAAAAATTAGTCCAAAGTTTCTACTTTGTATTCATGCTTCTGATATCTCTTATATTAGCGTCATTATTTTCCATTAGTTTCTATAACTAAAGCTATTTTATACCAGTTCTATCATTGACTGAAAAAAAATTAAATTGCTGTAGGATTTAGACTTCTGAAATGGAATGGTGTTTTCAACTCTGCTGCAATTGTGCGTCAGTACAGGCTGCTCCACCTTAGAGTGATTAGGGTTTTGTGAGAGATGTATAACAAATTGCAGGGCTAATCAAGGGAAAATTACCCAGCAGTTGAGGTGGGTTTTAATTAATTATATTGCTAGCTTGTTAGGGAGAGATCTTTGAAAAGGTAATCAAAGAAACATCACATATGAGCTGTTTGTTCTCTTAGCACTATTTTTAAAATGGAAAATTCTTGACTACTCTTCAGTCCATCTTCAAAGCCTCCTCAAGGTCTTGGAGTGGAGTTAGGTGTCCTTCTGGTAACTTTCTGATTTGTCTCCCTTCTGCCTGTGTGGAAATAAACAAAAACCACTGAAATAAGAACAAACGAAGGGTGTTTGTTCAGAGCTTGCCATAGCAAGGGAGTTGGCCACCATCACCTGTGTTGGCAGAGACTCAAAGGCAGGCAGAGGAGTGGGAAAGCTTCTTGGTGGAAAGAGGGGAGGGAAGGCTCCAGGTGTGCCCTGATTGGAGGCTGTTGGTGTGGAGGAGCTGGAAGTGACTAACTAGAAGTAGGGCCTCCTGTGTGATTGGTTAGGGGGGTATGTTTGGCTTACTCTGTTGCCTGGAAAATATACTAGACAGTAAGAGCAGGCACCTGTTCCATTATTAACATCTATATCCACAAATTCTAGAACTGAACTCCTCTTTAAAGGAAGGTGACAGAAAGCCCTTGCACATGGTGGGGGCACAGTGGCACACACCTGTAATCCCAGCACTTTGGGAGGCTGAGGCAGGTGGATTACTTGAGGTCAGGAGTTCAAGACCAGTCTGGCCAACATGGTGAAACCCCATCTCTACTAAAAATACAAAAATTAGTTGGGCGTGGTGGTGCATGTGTGCCTATAATCCCAGCTACTTGGGAGGCTGAGGCAGGAGAATCACTTGAACCCAGGAGGTGGGAGGTTGCAGTGAGCCAAGATCGTGCCACTGCTCTCCAGCCTGGGTGACAGAGCAAGACTCTGTCTCAAAAAAAAAAAGAAAAGAAAAGAAAAAAAAAACACTCCTTTTTATTGCAAAACACTAACCACAAAGTGCAAAGGAGCAATGAAAGTAGAAAATCACCAGCGTTGCAGGTGGAACCATAAATGGTGGCTAAAACTAGCAGTGACTGTTCCTCACCTTCTGTTCCTCTTTGAGACAGCCTCCAAGTATGTCCACATACATTACCTTTTAATTTGAAAGGAATGACTAATAACTTCACAGTGGGGAAAACTGGTAGGTACCACCTTAACCAAGTAACCAGTTAACCTCACCCAGGCCTGGAACAAATAAACATAATGGGCCTTTTGCAAAGCATGCACTGAGAGGAACGTAACACTCTGTAGCCTTCCTGGTGAAAAAGATAAAGATACAGGACAAAAAGCATAACCTAAATTTAATCTAACTCTGATCATGGGGGAAACAACAGATGAGCCCAAACTGAGGAACATTTAACAAAACAAATAGTTTGAATTCTGCAAAAATGTTAATATCATGTAACCAGTACACAGAGGAACTGTTTCAGATTAAATAGGCTAAAGAAACATGACAGCTAACTAGAACACATGATTCTGGATTGGATCCTGAATGGAATGTGGGGTTTCTTCTTTGTTTTTTGCTTAAAGGACATTAGTTGGATAATTGGTGAAATTTTAATAAACTCTGAGATTAGATAATAGTAGTATTATCTATTTCCCTAATTATGCTATTTCCTTAATTATGATAACTGCACTCTTGTTACATAAGACAATGTTCCGGTTCTTAGGAAACACAAAATGAAGTATTTAGGGTTAAAGGGGTATGTTGTATGTTACTTGCTTTCTGACAGTTCAGGAGGAAACATAAAACAGTTGAGGAATGATAAAGCAAACACAGTAAAGTGGTGATATTTGGGAAATATGGACAATTGGTATTATTTATCTAGTTTTTCTGTAAATCAGAAAGTATTTCAAAATAAAAAGTTAAATGTGAAAGAAATTAAAATAAAACCTGTTATGAGGATTAAATGAGTTAATGCTTACAAAGGATTTAGAATATAGACCTTAAAATATTAATGATTAGATGTAATTATTATTACCATAGAATTAAGAAGTGGCAAGGCTACCTCTATCTGGCCTATACACCCTTATCCTTAATTCCCTCATCTCTGCACTTCATCATTCAGAGTCTGGAGAAATCCAATGAGATAATGGATAGAAAAGTCTTTACATAAACTGTGAAGTGCTGTGGTTTGGTGAATGTCTGTAAGCTTGGATATGAACTCAGATTCTTGTGTGCAGCTACCTGATGATGTTTGTCTCTATTGCTGATGAGGTTCTTTGGACTCAGAAAGTTCAAATAACATCACTAAAGGGACAAAGTCAGGACTAAAACCCAGAGATCCAACTTTCAGTTCTGTCTTTTTAATATTGGATAGTGGGCTGCAAGGAGAAGTTTAGGAAAGGATAGTTTCTTTCACATACTGACATGTTTTTCTATTGCTCTGTCTGGTACAGCTCATTGCCAGCTGAGGTCAGGTTGTGGCCCCAGGACCCCGCCTCTGAGGCCAGCCTCTATTTCCTGGACGGCAGCCCACAGACTAGCGCGGGTGTCAGCAAGCCTAAGGGTAACCAGTTGCATTTTGGTTTTATTGTTCCTACTGCAGATACTGAAAATGGCATCATTCCTATATCTGATGCTAAAAAATAATGTTTTTCTCTCCACCTGAAAACACTGACAGAAAGGTAGAAGAAGCTCCTGCTGGCCGAGGATTTTGTCTCCTATACATATGCAAATACCTGAAGCATTTTTTTTCTAATGGTGGTCTATTTCCTTATGAACATTTCCAAAGACAAAGGGAACTACTTTTTTAAAAAAATCTATGGGTTGGCTAGGAAACAAATGTTTCTACCTGATCTTGTCAGTGGATAATGGGTTCCAAAAAGCAAGAATCTGAAATTCTTTTTTTTTTAAATACTGATCGGCCACATGAAAATTCGTTTCACTGATTAAATAGGAGGAGCCCAGATATAGATTTTCCTTTCTGAGGTACTAATTTCTCAAGCAAGGGAAGAAATCAATGTGTTTTTGCAATGCTACAGATGGAAAATCTCAGGTAAATCAGAAAACGAAGGCAACTTGTTTAGAGAAAGTGGTCCTGAAAGTTTCTATCGGTGAGTTTTCCCATCTGTAAAATAATCTATAGTTTTATTGTGAAATTTGAGTGGCATAATGAATGGGAGAAAAATATATTTATATGAACAATAGGTAAGAGAAATAAAATAGCCCAGATTCACCAATGGTGGAGTTAGAAGATATTTATTCTTCATCCCTGTCCCACCTGAATGCTTCTCAGCTGAGTAACTGAGCTTCCTGATTTGGTTGATTGTTCATGATGTGCTTCAAGTTCCTGAAACAGGAAGGAATTGTCCCTGTGAAAGCTCAGCTGGTTAGTTAACACAGGGTGAGAAAAGGAGAATTGAGGAACCCTGAATTTAAAAAAAGAAAGAAAGGAAATTCATATTATTATGAGCAAATGGATAACAGCAAGTGGATTTCTGAATGCTGCCTATCTGTAGGAATAAGTTTATTGTGCTTTGTTGTTATTGATGATTTTGTAAGGAAAATAATATTATAGTGCCAGAGGTACTCAGGAATTCCTCATGAATCTACAGACCAATAAAATAATTAAATAATCTGCTCCTTGTGTCTCTGAGTAATTAAACTAAAGGGTGCCAAAATATTTTATTTACCATTACACTTTGACAGAAGCAATCATCAGCATATAGCTTCCTGTATATAAACTGGCTTTGTGGTTCCTTTGGGAAGCAATAGATTTAAGTCGGTTTAGTGACTGTGTATTTACTACCTTGATCATAAGTAATGAACTCAATCCACTTAAAGTTTTACAACAGTAATTTGCATATTTGCCTTAAGATGGTAGTTTTTCTACTTCTATAAAGTTGACTGTTATTTGGACACTTTTATTTAACTCATTAAAATTTCTTTAAGATATCAACTTTGGCAGTATTTACGCAGAAAGGATAGTAAGTGTATAAGATATATATACACTATAAAAAGTGTACAATTTTTTCTGTTTCAAGGTAAAGTGTTTTAATAATGGCCACTGTCATTTATTAATTACTACAATTTATTAGGTATAACATGTCAGGCACTGGGGGAGATGCTTTTAACACATGCTCTCTACTTACAACAAACCTTGAAGATAGATACTATATAATTTTTTTTTTTTTTTTTTTTTTGAGAGGGAGTCTCTCTCTGTCACCCAGGCTGGAGTGCAGTGGCACCAGCTTGGCTCACTGCAACCTCCGCCTCCCAGGTTCAAGCGATTCTCCTGCCTCAGCCTCTCGAGTAGCTGGGACTACTGGCGCTTGCCACCACGCCCGGTTCATTTTTGTATTTTTAGTAGAGACAGGTTTCAACATTATGGCCAGGCTGGTCTCGAACTCCTGACCTCGTGATCCGCCCGCCTCGGCCTCCCAAAGTACTGGGATTACAGGTGTGAGCCACCGCGCCAGGCTGAAGGTAGGTACTATTACATCCATTATACAGAAGAGAAACAGAAGCCCACAGACTTTGCAACCCCCTCTGCGCCCCTCTACTATTAAGAAGGTGAGTCTTTCTGCAGTATTTCCTTTCTCTATCCCCACCAGCTATGGGTCTCTATCAGGTTGTTTGTTTCTGTTTTGTTTTGGTCACTTTTAACCACACTGTATGTATTTCACATTTATAAAATATAATTTTTCTTTTTTTTTTTTTTTTTTTTTTTTTTTTTTTTGAGACGGAGTCTCGCTCTGTCGCCCAGGCCGGACTGCGGACTGCAGTGGCGCAATCTCGGCTCACTGCAAGCTCCGCTTCCCGGGTTCACGCCATTCTCCTGCCTCAGCCTCCCGAGTAGCTGGGACTACAGGCGCCTGCCACCGCGCCCGGCTAATTTTTTGTATTTTTAGTAGAGACGGGGTTTCACCTTGTTAGCCAGGATGGTCTCGATCTCCTGACCTCATGATCCACCCGCCTCGGCCTCCCAAAGTGCTGGGATTACAGGCGTGAGCCACCGCGCCCGGCCATAATTTTTCTTTTTTTAAAAAATATCTGTGTAACACATTGTTCATTCAGGCAGTTCCGCAGAATTCCATGTGTCAGACATAATTAATACAATTGGGGAAATACTGAGTAAGCGTTTTCGGCCCACACTTTTGTTTGAACACAGTGCATTATACCCACTCGATTTTAGTTTAATTCCCGTGCTGTTTTACATTTCTGTAAACTCTTTGAGGGAGTTCTGGGCGCCCACTGTCTAGCTCAGAGTTCCAGGCTAAGGTAGGCACTAATGAATGCTGAATGAATTGGGTAGCCAGTTAATTGCTTTTTCCCCCCTAAAAAAAAAGTCTAAATTACTTGAATAAAAGTATTTGCGGATTTTTAAATAATACATTTAATGGCAGATCTCTGTCTCCAAAACGTGTGTCCTTCTAGCGACTGAGGGTGTGGGGTGGGGTGAGGGGTGACTAACCAGTCCCCCTGAGATGGGCCCAACCTTAGCAATATTATCCATCTACCTGGGATTCCCCTACACCTGAACAGCTCTTTGGGTCCGCGAGAGAACCAGCGGGGTGGGGCACCCAATGCCAGGAGTGCGCGCGGAGAGACACGCTGAAGTTCACAGGAGAGTATTTACCAGCAAACAAAGGGCGGCGCGGTTTGGGGTCCTAGGACCAGCTGCCGCCGTCTCGAGAAAACGCAAGGGCCGCGGTGACAAGTGGACATTCCGCACGCGACCAGACCGACACTCGATGGGCACCTCCCCGCGGCCCCGCCCGCAGGCTCCAGCTGCCCAGCTCGCAGCCGCCCACTGGCTCCGGAGGCTGCTTCAACCACTTGTCCCGCCGGCTTCTACCCCAAGAACTTTCCGTCCCTCTTGGGGTTGGGGACCGGCAGTGTGGAGGGGCGGGCAGGTGGGGGTCTCCAGGGAGCACCGTCACCGGACTTGGCGAGCTACCCTTCCCAAATGAAAGGTGGCCCGCTCCCAAGTCCATCCCATATCCTTAGAGAAGCTCTGGGAGCGAGGGCCAGGCGGCAGTGCGGAGCCTGGTTGAGCGAGATGAACAAAGGGAGCTAGCGAGCCGGGGAGGATGCTGCGCTCCCCTGCGCCCCACCCAGCCGGCTGCCAGGCGCTGCCAGGCGCGCAGGTAGCCCGGCCTTCCGCGCTGGCGGGGGGAGGTGTTGGACAGGGTACACAAAGACTCACTTCCGCCGGGGCAGGCGCCGGGACTCCCTCCTGGCCGCCCACAGCCTGTGCGCATTCCTGCATTCCTGCCGCCGCCCGGGACCCGAGTGCCCCGGAGGTGTCCAGGCGCGGTGCCAGGCGGGTACTGTGCAGGTAACCTTCGGAAGAACTAGGGCTGGATGGAGGCGGCGGCCGGGGAGAAACACGCCTTTTTAGGCAGCCGTGCTGCCCCGCACCGCCCCACGCAGCCCAAGTCTGCAGTCACTCTCCGCGACAAGCAGAAATCCGCGCGCAGCCAGGGAGCGCCCCGCCTGCGCTCGCCGGCGGGCCGAGCTGCCGGGCCGGGGGCGCGGGGAGGGGGCAGCCCAACTTCCCAGTGCCCGGCTCCCGCCAGCTAGGTGAGCCTGGAGCGGGAAGGATGAAAGGGATCGCGGAGAGGGAGGGGGCTCTGGGGCGAGCGGAGCTCGGGGGCGGGGCGCGGCGCAGCCTCGGTGCGTGGGCCGGGAACCGCCGCCTCTCCCCGGGGCTCGGGGCCGCGGTTCCTCTGGCCGCGGGAGCCGCCGCCGCGCTGCCCGAAACAATGAGGCGTGCAGCGCGGGGCTGAGCGTAGCCTCCCGCCGGCTTTGAGGCCGAGCCACCCGCTGTGCCCCGCCGCCCGCGCTTGCAGCTGCCGCCGGCGCGGAGCAGCGCTGGCCCCGGAGAGGTGATCCCGCAGGCCGCCTGGGACGGGAGCGCGGGGCAGCTCCGAGACCCCACGGTGGCAGGAGGAGGACTCGAGCCTGCGGCAGGACGACTCCCGCCGCGCACTCGCCTTCTGCAGCCCCCAAGTTCCGCGGCGTGAGTCGGGGACCCCGGCCAGGGTCCCAGCTCTAGCGGGCGCCAGCGTGAGTGTGGGAGCGCGTAGCGCGCGCACCCGAGCGGCTGCCGGGGAATAAAATGTGACACGCACGCCTTGGACTCCAGTGCCGCGCTGCCAGGGGGAGCACCGAGCACCACGGTGTCGTGCGCTTCGAGGCGCGGCGTGGGAAGAAGGCTGGTAAGGGAGGGCACTGGGTAAGGGTTGGCGACGCCTTTCTTGGTGGCGCTGCAGCCTCCGCGCTGCTGTGCGCGGAGTTACACTCCGTGTTTAGGAGCGAGACCCGTGTGTGGGGAATGTTGAAGGTGGTTTGGGGAAAAGCAGGAAATTCTGGAGAAGCGAACGGGAGGACGGCTTGCGCTTTGGGGACGGGCGGATACAGTTGTGCCCCTGTGGCTCAGTAAAGGTGATCTTTTATTTTGGCTCTTTTGGCTCTGGAAGGGAGTGAAGATTTTTGTCTTTCTTCAGCCAACCCCCGTACAAAACTGCACTTCTTAAAGGTTAAAGTGTGTTCTGTTCATTTCTGGTTCTCTGTGGCTATAATGTTTGGGGTAGTAGGGATCTTTAGAATCCTAAATACCCGAGTGTTAATTCTTATGTAGTTGGCAGGCGGCAAACTCCGCTTTTGGGTTTACTTTCCGCGGTGTTACGGAGTGGATATTTGATGCATTCTTTTGAGTAGGGAGTGTGACGTCCATCTCATTCGGATTTGCCGGTTCTGTGTTGGGGGACTGAGTGAAGTTAAACTCAATGGCTCCCGCAAGTGCTGCCTTCCAAAGAGCTGAATAGCTGTGTTTGGAGAAGCTGTGCTTTCCAGGAATTTAAATGAGACTTTTTGTGATTGCCTTCCAGGTCTCTCCTCCTAGTACCATATTTGTTTTGTCAGGCTGAACTTTCAAAGCTGTTTTGTAATCTGAGAAGCACTTTTGGGGGGAAAGTAATGCTTGGCTGGATTTTTGTGAACTTATTTTTATTGGACATGCGAAAAATTTGGCGAGAGGCAAACCATATTTGGTTGAAATCATTGTCTTTTGCACCACTGCCGTTCTGACCATAAAGGGGCATGCTGACCCTCCTCGCCGAGGACTGCCTGCTTGGGTGAGGGGGGTCTTTGGTGGGCTGGAAGCACATTTTGTATTTAGAGAACTTTCTGCACACTTGAAAAACCCCATGCTGGTTACTTTGATGCTTCCCTTTTTTGAAATTCTGATCAACATTTTTTGCCAACTTGAAATATAATTTATGACCAAGGAAGAATTCCAATAAAGTGAAGTGCTATATATATATGATGTATATGTATATACATACACATATGTATATATGTGTGTGTGTGTATGTATATATATATATATATATATATATATATGCGCTGCAAATTTAGGGTTAAAACTTTTTTTAAAAGGAAAACTGATGTGTGGCCTTGAACCTGTTTTTACCCACTCTCCTTCCCCCATTATTTTTCTGGAACTGACAACCAAAATTTTTATATACCACTTGAGGAATTTTGTACTAATGCATTAAAAGAAACTGTTGGCAAAGGTGAATGGATATTGTGCTCAAAACTGATGAAAGTCTAAAATAATAGGTGAAGTGCCTTGAATTTTACTGCAAAGTTAAAAAGGCACTCTATCCAATTTTTGCCGCAATAGATACAAATGGTAGCATCTTACATTTTTGCTTGGTGCTGTGAAAGCTTCTGGAGTTTTGAGTTAAATGTCTTGTAGAGATTGTGATAGGAGTCACTGCTTTATATGGAGTACTGAGCTCCACAGTTTAGAGAGGCTTTGGATGGATACTCCTGGAAAGAGTGAGGTCAGAGCAAGGACCAACATTTGGTGAGTTTGCTATGTGGTGCACAGGATCTAGGAAGCAAGGATACAAAATTCAGGATTTTTAGACTAGAGGATTCAAAGTTGAGACAATTTAACATTTGAAAATATGTGAATGATTTATTATGCAGAAGAGGGCAGTTATCTGTGTTGAGTTTCTGATGAGGATAATTAAGAGGGAAAAGGTTTACTCTGTGGGGTGAAGACATAAGTTGAGTCTAGGGAGTTGTGGCCAATCCAGCCAGCAAAGATTAAATAGCGAAGGGACTGCTGAAAAAATTCCTGTACGTGCTTGTTTCTGGAGGTTCCACCCCCCCACCCCCGAGTTTCTCTTCTTTCTGAGATGATTTCAGTGTGTGAGGCTCTGGTCTATTGCTTATACTGATACTGACTGAAATTTTACCCTCCAGGTTTAGAATTTATCCAAGCATTTCTCAAATGATTAAATCTTTTCTGAAAGACAAACTGATTTCTAGGCTTCTGCCACTCCTTCTTAGGTAAATAAATGATAGGTTCCTTTCCAAAAACTTGGAGATATTTGTCCTCTGGGAAGCTCTTAATTAGTTTGCAGATTGCTACCTCATGGGTGAGACTTTGAATAAAAATATCTTATGCATGATAATAAGGACAGTCTTTGTTAATGCATTTGCTCTTTAAATGTATTGTGTTATTCCTGATTGATTGAGTTTTTTCTTTTCCTGGATTTTCTGTAATATGATCTTAAAATTTAATTGCTTAAATTAAATTAAGTACTTAATTCAGCATGCATAAATGTCTAAGGGAATCAGATAGTACCCTCATGGCAGGTGTATGTTAAGCTTTGATTTTCTAAGCATTGAAATCTGAAATCTCATCCCTTAAAAAAAATGGGATGAAATTCCCAAAT